>NC_000015.10:88714005-88865520 GCF_000001405.40 Homo sapiens
CATCCACATACTCAGGCTCCCAGAATTCTAGGACCCACATTATTTCTCTGGGCCCCCTCACTGTGTAAGTGAGGGAAAGGGAGGCAAGGTGCCCCTCAACCCCTTCAGCTCCAGAGCTCACCAGCTCTGGATGAGGCTGACCCAGACCTGAATCCCGTTTCCACCACTGACTTGCTGTGTGACCTTGGGCAAGTCTCTGAGCCTCAGTTCCTCATCTCTAAAGTGGGAACAATAATAAGTGATGATCTACTGTGACTCAGGCACTGCTCTGACTGATTTGCAAGTGTCACCTCATTTAATCCTTGCCACAACCCTATGAGTTGGTTTTTGCAGGTGGGAAACTGAGGCACAGGCAGGTAAGAAGCCCACCCTCCCCACCACCTGCCCCTGACATTGCCGGTTCCTTCCCCATGAGTGGCTGGAGAGGAAGGGGGTAGTTTTGACCCAGGAGTCATTTTTCTCTCTTTGCACTCTCAAAAATTATTTTCAGCCAGCCAGAGAGCAACAGTTGTGGGTTCCAAGTTTGCAGGTGCCCCATATTTCACCTGGTGCTCCTCACCCCGCCAAAACCCTGGTTTCTTTGCTACTTGGTCACATCAAAATAATTACATTTCAAACATCCATGTTTGGCCAACGCTCAGCCCTCTAAGAGGGACCTGGGTGAACCGCGTTTCAGAAAAGGAGAAAAATAAGAGACCTAATAGACTAGGTTGTTTGTTTGTTTGAATGACAAGACCCAGAATGACAAAAATGTCTTGGGATGGTGGGGAGAGGTTATTTTGGGTCAATAAGGAAGTGAGGTCACTCTTCCGAGAGAATCACAGAGGGCCACGTGGACAATTAGAAATAAATGTACCTGTGCTAATCCCAGTGTGTGGGTCTTTAAATAGAGCCTGGTGCGTGTCTGTCAATGTGGAACACGGTGTCCCTTCTGCAGGCTGTTTACCAGCCTTCAATGGGCTGCTTTGTTGTGTGTCTGCTTGCACAGCCCTAGCTGGACAACGAGTGGCTCCAGTGCACGTGCACCTCCCGCCACTTTCCTTCAACAAACTCCAGGAGCAGTGGTCAGCCTGGAGCGAGGCTGCTGTAAGAGTGAATGGGGCCCAGGCTTTGGCACCAGGGACACTTCCCAACAAGGGGGAGCCAGTGACCACCCTCCTGGGCCTCTGCTGAAGGATCCTAGAACAGCCCTGGCTCCTTGGTTTCTCTCAGTTCCCTGACACTGAGGGTCTCACCTTTCTTCTTGACTCCTGGCAGTGCCATTTTCAGCACATGGAGACCAGTCCCTGGGGCCCACAAAAAGTCATTATGAGTCCAGCTTTGCCAGCCAGGGACCGGCAAACATCTATTTGTTCAGTTTTTCCTCCATCTGCCAGTCACCCAGACTTTAGCTCCTGCTGTGTGTTAGGCCCTAGCTCTGTCATAGTCACAATGGCTAAATCTACTGGACATTTACTGGGTCCCTGACCCCATGCTAAGCACTCCACATACAGTGTTTATTTCTTTAATCCTCACAACAACTCTGAATGTTCTTAGCCCCACTTTAGGATCCCCCATTAAATAGATGATAAAGCTGAGACTCTGGGAGACCAAGTTCCTACACTTCGCCAAGAGCAGACTGGGAGTTTAACACAGGGGTGCTCAATTCCAAAGCACACGCCCTTTACAGTTAAGCTATCCCGCCATGGTGATGCATTAAACGCCATCCCTGCCTCTAGGACCCCACCCTGGTGGAAACAATAAGCAAGAAAACAAGCAGTAATGGAAGTGCTATGGTAAATACTGGCTCAGGCAAGAAGAGGCACCTAGTCTAGCCCAAATAGAGCGAGTAGAGGATAAAGAACTTAGAAGAGATGATCTTTGAATTCAGTCTTTAAAAAGAAAAAGTGCAAGTTACAGATGGAGGAGGCAGACCTACTGCCCAACTAAACGAAAAGACTCTTTAGGGAAGGGAGAAAGTGTGTGTGTGTGTGTGTGTGTGTGTGTGTGTGTGTGTGGAGTCTGTCTGTTGATAGAGGAAATAATGAGGCGTGGCTTGAGGTGGAGACTTGTGGGCCTTCAGGAGATAGTGGGGTCTTGACTTTGGCACCTTCAATTACTGATCTTGATGATTTAATGGCCACATATATTTACTGAGAACTTCTGCTGGCCACATGTCACATGTCACTACAGTTTTGAGGGTTTCAAAGCTCATTTGGGCTTCACCGTGACATGCTCTAGAAAAGGGTAAGCAGCAACATTTCCATTTTTCAGACGGGGAAACTGATATTCAATGAGATTAGGGCATTTGCCACCATGCATGCTACACAATTTCTAGAACTTAAAGACTCTCGGGATAGGGCGGGCCCTTTAAGGATGTGTCGCAGCCATCCATTTAATTTGTGACTCCCGTCCTAAGTGGCTACCATACCTTTTTTTTGAATGCTTTTAATGGCAGATAACTCATTTTAACTCATTAGCTTCTAAAACACATCATCTGTCCTCAGAGAGACTTCCCAATTCCTAAAAAGTTCTCCCTTATTAGAGTCTAATTCTGTCTCCAGGTTCTGTGATCCATTGTTCCAGCTCCCTGCTGGGGCCATATACCACATCATTCCTCTCTTCAGAGGGTGGCCCTCCACAAATTTGGAAAGATACTCGGGGTCTTGGCCAGGAGGCCTCGGATACACGGCGTGTCGCCCATGGAGGCTCCTGTCCCACTGTTCTGCCCGCTCTGGGCCTGCCCTGTGTGTCTGCCTTGGCATTAGGCCAACATGTGTCTGGTTCCAGCACTTTAGGGGAGTCTCAGTTTGCAGACCCCAAAGCCTCTGCCTAGTGACCCAGCTCCATGGGCATTTGCCCAACCAGGTCCGAGGACTGGCTCTAGCCCCATGTGGTCCTCCCTCTCGCGCCAACTTTGCAGCAAGTTCTGCTCTCTCTCTCTCTCTCTCTCTCGCTCTCTCTCTGTGCTGGTGAAGAGTGAGGCAGCAGCAAAATGCCCTTACTGTTTATGCTTGCGACCCGCCGGCAGGCACTCTCTCCCAGGACGAGTGCCCCCCTGACTCACTGGGGCCCGCCCTGGGTAAACGTCCCGTGCTGGGAGACCATGGCTGTCCTTTCGGAGGGTACATTTCCATGAGGCCCAGGTTTGATTCCCAGAACAGCAATAAAGGATGAAACCACACATTCCCCCAGCCCCCCTCACTCAGGCTAGTGTTGACAGAGGGCAGCATGGCAGAAGAGTGAGTGAGGCGGGGGCCTGGGAGTGGGACAGAGAGCAGGAGGGCAGAGTCCCTTAGCTGGTCTTCAACTGGGACAAAGCCTGGTGTTGTCCACATGCCCCCGCCCCAGCTGACTATGGTGGGCCCTTGGATTTCCAGCCAAGCTTCAGTTGTGTTATCTCCTCCTTGCGCCACCGCTCCCCCTCCCCCCACCTCAATCATGGCCTGTCCTCAGGAAAACGTCTCTTGCCCGGGCTCAGAAGGCAGCAGGTAAAGAGGCCCCTGCCCTGAGCACTTTCCCTCCCCCGTGTCGCCCTGCCCAGCCCCTTGATCAGACGATGGCAATGGAGGGAGGCCTCTGCATCTGGAATCTTCCAGCCCTCCTGCTCCCTTGGCTGGGTATATTTGTCTTGGCTGCCTTCACCTGGGCTTTTTTAAAACAGATTTTCTTTCCTTTGCTTTCTCCCAGCAGCTGGCCTCAGCAGCACAGCACACAGAGCAGGGCTTGTTTAGGACAAGTCACAGGACCCTACTCCGGCCAGCAGCCCACCCCTGCCTGCGCCCCGGACGCTGGTTCCCTCCTGGAGCCACAGAGAACAGCTGTGAACAGAGGGTTACAAACAGAGAGGGTTTGGGACAGAGGGCACAAGGGACACAGGGTGACCAAAGCAAGCAGGAGCAGGAAGAGACGGATTGATTCAGAGCTGACATGTGGCCTCCTTACACTGGGACTTCCTGGAGGGAAACAGGGGCCGAAGGAGGGAAATTCAGGTCCAAAACCAGGTGGGAGAAGAAAAGAGAACCAGTGTAGGGGAAACCTTTATCAGGAGGAGAGACCTGTGTCCAAGCCCCCATCTTCCCCTTCTGCCGCGTCGGCTTGGGGGCCCTGGGCCCTGTTCCTCAACTGCAGCACGGGGATGATAATATTTTACTTGCTTCTAGCTAAGAAACTAGACATCTTTAGGTACTTTCCACTTTGAAAATCGATGACTTAATAGTTTTCTTAAACAACACCAATAAAAGGTTATTTGTGTGAAAACATAACATTGGCATAACAAGGTGTGCCTGGGGTGGGATGGGGTGGGCAGCAGTTTCCTCCCTGGTGACTTTCAGGCTCGTGGCAAGGATTAACACAGTTCTAAATCAGCCAGTCTTACTTGGGCAGGGGCAGGGAGGGGGTGCTTCCCTGGGGAGGGGTCTCTACGGTTCCACGTCCACTGCGCCTCTCAGGAACGTAAGGGATGGGGCAAATATCCCCAGTGAATGCCCTGGCCTTCTTCCCCTCTCCCTGCTCTATAAGGCACCCCCTGACCCTGACCTCACCCATGGCCAGCTGGCCTGAGAGCCAAGCCTGGTGCCCAGCACAGCGCTCCTCTGCTCTGGGGGCAATTCAGGGCACACTGATGGCTTGTGCCCTCACAAGCGCCCAAAACTGAGGCTCAGGAAGCCCAGTGCAGGCTGAGAGGTCGTGTCCACTCTGTCTCCCACACCATGGAGGAAAGAGACAGCCCCTATCCTCAAGGCTCAGTTGCCCACTGTACCCAGGAGTGCTCTTCTGGTCACAGAGCTTCCCTTCCAGGTGTGCTCAACCCTCCAACCTGCCCTGCATCCCAGCTGGGTCACCTTTTCTCACCTCCCCTTGGGTGCCCAGGGGGCTCAGGTCCTTAGCTGTGAGGTTCCCTGCTCTGTGCTGTGGCCTCTGCCTGAAAGCACTGACATCCCAGCTGTCCTACTCACAGCTGCTGGCCCTGACATGGCCCAAAGAAATCCCAGCGCCTGGCCACTTCCCACCCGCCCTCCAGCAGCCACATCATTTCATGCTGCCCCTCTCCTCTCTCAGTTAATTCTAACGGACCTGGTCTGTTCCACACCACTTACTTGATCTACAGTCAATTCTCTTTCTTTGGGGTGGGTGAGGTGGCTCAAACCTGTAATCCCAGAGATCTGGGAGGCCAAAGCAGGAGGATCACTTGAACCCAGGAGTTGGAGACCAGCCTGGGCAATATGGTTAAACGGCTTCTCTGTAAAAATTTTTCTAAAAAATTATCTGGGCATTGTGGCATGCACCTTAGTCCCAGCTACTGGGGAGGCTGAGGTAGGAGGATCTCTTGAGCCCGGGAGGTCGAAGCTGCAGTGAGCCATGATTGTGCCACTGCACTCTAGCCCTGGTGACAGAGCCAGATCCTGCCTCGAAAAAAAAAAAAAATTCTCCTTATTCATGGTAGTTATGTTCTACAAAGTTGCCTTGAACACTGAATTAGTAAATCCAGAACCCTGTTTCTAGAGGAAATAGAGGGTTAGTTGCATGAAAGCCGCCGGTCACACCATCTTCCTCAACCAACCAATACATAACCTTGTATTATGTATGTTTCTGTTTAAAGACAGTATACTTAATACATGTCATTGACTCATTAACATGGAACTCACAGCCAACAGCGCTATAACTCACGCCTGAACAAAGCCTATCTAACACACGTATTTTCTCCATAAGGCACATCACAGTCTTGAACCCAGGAACACTAGGCTGCATTTCAGCACGACACCTGGAGGCCATGTCAAACAGCAAAACCACCACCGTAAAGCACAAAACTGCAAAATAGCGTGGCACTAAACAGACCGTGAAAAGGACACTTGTTTATAGACAAGCACTGAAAGAAGGCAGAATGTACCCTTGTTCAGCCTCAGTGGGAGCATGTGCATTTGGTGACTCAACTTTTTCACCGCTCTGCACTTACCTGTGAATGACTGTAACAGGGCCACAAGTGCTGATTTGGAGATTACAAATAAATCTCAGCAGGGAGGCAAATTCACAAAGAAGAATTGACCCTAAGTCCCTCATCTTCTCCCTTCCTTCTTTTTTTCCTTCTGGCTCCTCTCCGCTATACCCCATCGTCAGTCCAGCTCATCCTCACATTTGCTCATACAGCAAACACTTACCAAGCAGCAAGTGCATGCCAGGCTCTGTGCTATGGACTTTGTGGGCTCCAAAAAATGCATTGGATGGGGATCCCGTCCTCAAGTAGTCTGTAGCCTAGATCAGGGTCTGCACACTTTAGGGCCAAATAGTAAATAGGTTAGGTTTTGCGGCTACACGGTGTCTGTCACAATTACTTAACTCTGCCTGTCTCCCTACCACGGCTCTTTCTCCCTGGGCTAATCTCTCTCCTCTCCCTGAGTATCATCAGTTCTCATCTAGATCCACTGGAAACCTTCCCCCGCAAATGAAAGAGCAAAGAGCAGGAATCATGACTGTGTTCTCATCACTATATCAGACCTAGCACAGTAGGGACTCTGTAGATTTGTTGGCTGGAACAGTAAGTGCACAGACCAGTGTCCTATATTTATGATTGTACAGGACCCAACTTTTGGCCCCAATATACTCTGAAAACATTTTTTTTTTTTTTGAGACGGAGTTTCATTCTTGTTGCCCAGACTGGAGTGCAACGGCACAACCTCAGCTCACCGCAACCTCTGCCTCCCGGGTTCAAGTGATTCTCTTGCCTCAGCCTCCAAAGTAGCTGGGACTACAGGCACCCACCACCACGCCCGACTAATTTTTTGTATTTTTAGTAGAGACGGGGTTTCACCATGTTGGCCAGGCTGGTCTCAAACTCCTGACCTCAGGTGATCCACCCACCTCAGCCTCCCAAAATACTGGGATTACAGGCATGAGCCATCACGCCTGGCCTGAAAACATTTGAAGCCAACTCTGTGATTATATTTAAAAACAGACACCTCTGGTGCCCTGCCTGGAAACAACCCCTAAGTCACTTCTTTAGGGATGAACACCTGCTGGTCCCCCACCCTGACATTTTCCTCAGGGAAGGGATCCAAAAGGGCATGATGGGTGCACGGTTGAGAAAGTGAAAGGGGCTCCTCCTCCTTTTTTTCCTTCTTATTCCTCTCTTTTCTGTCCCTCACTTTCCCTTCCTCTCCCCAGGGAAAATGGGGTAGCCAGGAGGCTGCTGAGGGTTGTCTCTGGTTCCTGAGAGCAGAGGGGCAAAGGTCCCTGATCTCTGAGTTGTCCATCCCAGCTCTCTCATGCCCATGGCAGATGTCCCAGTGGACACAACATCCCACTGCAGTTGGCTGAGACCCCCCAGGGTTATTTCTCCTGGTCTCAGTGCAGCTGCAGGCAGCTGGATTTAGATCTAGTGGACAGGGAATCCCAGCAGGGTCCCATCACCTACACAAAAGGAAGGGGACACTAGGTAGTGGTCAGATGAGTCAAGAAGAAAGTAAACGTCCAGCACCCACCCTTAAATCCTGCTGCACAGATCTGCCTCTCCAGTTAAAGACAGCCCCAATCTGGAAGCCCATGGCTCTGACCCCCGTGAAGGTGTGTGTGCGTGCATACATGCACGTACGTACATGACCTTATGGTTTACAAGGTGGGAAAGAAATCTGAAGTTGGTTTAGGGTTTCTTCTCTGTGTGTCACTTCTATCTGTAAAGTCCCCACCCAACAGGGAAAGACTGAGGAAATCTGGGACTCCAGGGTTGAGGGGGAACTGTGGGTTTGTGTGAAGATTAATCATCCATCATTCACACTTGCTCATGAATCTTCTACAAGCCCATACAAAAAGGCGCCTCACACTACCCCTCAAGGCTGGGTTCATAAGGGAAGCCCAAATGGGATTGGCCCAACACCATGCTGACAAAGCCAAGAAGAGAGAGAAGATGCAAGCTGCCTCAATGGAACCAGCTCTGAGTGAGGCCCACCACACCTGCACTTGCAGAGGAAACTCCTCTATGAATGCAGCCTCAGGGCTAGAGCAGACAGGGGAGGACCCATGAGGGTGCCATGAGTGGCTCCAGACCATCCCAGAACAGAGGGCCAGGACCACTCAAAACCATGTAATCATTGGGTCTACAGAAACCACGTGCTTGAGAAATGGAAGCCCTGGAGGGGCCCAGAGAGGCAGGTGACATAGACTCAACGCAGCCTGAGGCTAGCAGGCATGGCCATGGGAGCTAGGAAGTGGGCCTCTTCAAGCTCCAAACTTCTCCTCTATACTGAGAGCTAACACTGACACTCCTCACAGGCTTGTTGGGAGAATTAATCAGAAGCCTTAGCACAGTGCTTGGCATGTCGTAAGTCATTGTAAGTCTTCAAAATCTTAGTAGCCATGAGGACAAAGATCATGATGATGATGGAATTCTTTTAGCTCCTAGAAATGTTCCCTTTCTTGCCAGAGTCTTCAAAATCTTAGTAGCCATGAGGACAAAGATCGTGATGATGATGGAATTCTTTTAGCTCCTAGAAATGTTCCCTTTCTTGTCAGCTCCAGGTGTCTTATCTACAAAAATGAGAAGGCTCAGCCCAATAAGTCTTAAAATGGCTTTTAGACCTAATGATTAGGACTCTAGGAGTTTGCACATTCTGGCATTCTACAGAAAGGAACTAATGCCCTGACACAGTCCTGGAAAGGTCCAATTGCCCGCAAGGCTGCTCAGAGCAGAACTGGTAATAACCCAGCAGAGATGTAAACAGGCAGCATTACTCTGCATTCTTAACAGCCTCCAAACTGATGCCGCCTTCTCTCTTGACCTTCACAGCCAGGTGATAGGGCCTGGCACAGGAACAGTGCCTTGAAAATGCCCTACCTAGTCAACATCCTCCCTGCCCCTCCCCGTGGTGACCCACTGTTCTGACTTTTTTTTTTTTTTTTTTTGAGACGGAATCTCTCTGTCGTCAGACTGGAGTGCAGTGGCGCAATCTCGGCTCATTGCAACCTCCGCCTCCCAGTTTCAAGAAATTCTCCTGCCTCAGCCTCCCAAGTAGCTGGGATTACAGGTGCATGTCACCATGCCTGGCTAATTTTTTTTGTATTTTTAGTGGAGACAGGGTTTCACCATATTGGCCAGGCTGGTCTCGAACTCCTGACTTTGTGATCTGCCCTCCTCAGCCTCCCAAAGTGATGGGATTACAGGCATGAGCCACCTGCCTGGCCTGTTCTGACTTTTATCAACACACATTAGTTTTTCCTCATATAAATGGACCAACGAGTATGCATTCTTTTATCTCTGTCAACCTTTCTTCAACATAATGTTTTTGAGATTCTTTCGTATTGTTGTGCATCAATAATCTATTCATTCTTCATTCAAGAATAATTCGTTCTTCTGATTGCTGAGAAGTATTCCATTATGCGGATGTGCCACAATTTGTTTATCCATTCAGGGACATTGGGTTGTTTTCAGTTTGGGGCTATTATGAATAAAGCTGCTATGTTTTTCAACAAACGTTCCATTGCTATTCATGAGGGAAAATTGTCTTGCAATAAATGATACTAGAGCAATTGGATATCTATTTGGAAAAAATTAACTTTTACCCCTAACTTATACTTCATGCAAAAATTAATTCAAAATGGATTATAGGCCTTAAGTTGGGAGGGTAAAACAGTCAGTCTTCCATAAGAAAACATAAAAAAAGTCTTCATGACCTTGGGGAGAGCAAGAATTTATAAACAGGGCATAAACGCATTAATCACTAAAGAAAAAAAAAGAACTTTATTAATGTCCTTTATCCAAAGACATCACTAAGAAAATGAATAGATAAGCCAAAGACTGGGAGATGTTTGTAATACATATATATAACTGACAAAGTAGTCCTGTTAAAAATATTTATTTTTGAAACTCCACAAGTCAATAAAAAGAAATAACAAAAAAATAGGCAAAAGATTTGAATATTAACAAACGCTATCCAAATGTCTATTAAACTTGTAAAAAAAAAAAAATACCCAGTATCGGGCCAGGTGCGGTGGCTCACGCCTGTAATCCCAGCAGTTTGGGAGGCTGAGGTGGGCGGATCATGAGGTCAGGAGATCGAGACCATCTTGGCTAACACGGTGAAACCCTGTCTCTACTAAAAGTACAAAAATTAGTCGGGCATGGTGGCAGGCGCCTGTAGTCCCAACTACTTGTAAGGCTGAGGCAGGAGAATGACATGAACCCAGGAGGCAGAGCTTGCAGTGAGCAGATTGCGCCACTGCACTCCAGCCTGGGGGACAGAGTGAGACTCCGTCTCAGAAAAAAATATATATATATCATTCATCAGTGCAAACTGAAGCCATAATGAGACATTACTACAAACCCACCAGAAAAAGTGAAATCAAAGACTGACAAGGGCTCGGAGCAACTGGAACTCTCATCTATGGTTGGTGGGAGGGTAAATTGGTTCAAGCACTTTGGAAAAATGTTTGGTCGGGTCTACTAAAGGTAAACAGCACTGTATGACCCAGAAATTCCACCTCTGGGTACAGAGCCAACAGAAAGGAGTCCAAATATTCACCAAAGAGACATGCACAAATATGTCTATAGAAGCTTTATTCATAATACTCAGCATACTTTAGTCCAGATAAAATAATAACGTAATCTTCTTCTTTTTTCTTTTTTTTTTTGAGACAGAGTCTCACTCTGTCACCCAGGCTGGAGTCCAGTGGTGCAATCTTGGCTCACTGCAACCACCGCCTCCTGGGTTCAAGGACTCTCCTGCCTCAGCCTCCAAAGTAGCTGGGACCACAGGCACCCATCACCATGCCCAGCTAATTTTTGTATTTTTAGTAGAGACAGGGTTTCACCACGTTGGGCAGGCTGGTCTCGAACTCCTGACCTCAAGTGATCCACCCACCTTGGCCTCCCAAAGTGCTGTGATTGCAGATGTGAGCCACTGCACCCAGCCTGTAATCTTCTAAGAAGAGTTCAGCCATAGATTTGAAAGGAGAAGGGCACCGAAAGGGCCACGCAGAGGGCTACCCGCCTCAGTTCAGGATGGAGACAGATAAAAGTGAAACAAAAGCAGGTGGTCCCTGGAAGGGCACTGCTTATCTGATTAACCTGGAGGTGAAGGTGGGAGGTCCTGGTCCAAGCTACCTAAGTAAGTCTTCTCAAGTTACATTTGAGTGTGAGAGCAATGGTCTACTAACGGTGCTCTGCAATTACCTCTTGCATGTGTAAACAGAGTGGATGTGCCCTGTTGGAAAGGACAAGGGATCTACCAGAGAAGCCAGGGAGAGCAAGGTCTCTGAGGGGAACATCTCCCTATTTAGGGTCCCAAGTGGGCACCTACTATTCAGTGAGACCCTTGCACACTGGCTGTAGCTCGCTGGTCCCAAACCACAGTGGAGCCAATTCTGCTTCCAGAGAACTGGATCTTTAGCTGCCCACTGCTCAACCATGCTGCAGCTCTTCTCCTCCCACAAATACTGCCAGGGAAGGACTGTGCTGATGGGGTTCTGGACAGGCAGCTCCATGTCTACCCACATTGGTCGTGCATGACACTGCATGCCCAATATGAAAGCAGCAAGAACCACATTCAAACACAGAATGGAAGGGCTGTTTGACAAGAAGATAAACAAGCAAGGCCCAGTGCAGGCACTGTGGTTTAGAACCCACAGGGAAGGGACACACATGAAACTTGGTCCTGTGTAGTGACCTGGGTCTTCCACAGGAGATATTTGGACAAACCTCCCACCTCAACACACCACAACTTCACTAAACTTTACCTCCTGGTGATAGGGGAAGAACCAAAAAAAAAAAAAAAAAATCTGTCATTTTTAGTAAGAGGAACTATAGAAAAATACTGTTCGGAAAAAATAGAAATTAATATAATGTGTTCCTGTTTTACAAGTAAACAGTTCACAGGAAGCCACAAGACTATTTTAAAATCCCATATTGAAAGTCCAGGAAAGATGTGAGCTATGGCTCCAAAGAAGTGGCTGCTAAAAAATGAACCTGTGTGGCTCAGCTGATGAAACTACAAGTCATCGTAAAAGAAAAGGTATCTTTTCAAAATTGGGAAGTGGGTCCAAGCAAGCACAGGAACCAAGGGGCCCCAGCTGAGAGGTAGCTGGTAGCCTCCAGCTCAGCCAGGGAGTTAAGCCTGGCCCTGCTGTAAGCATTGCTGGGCAGGGCCACCCCAGTGTACCTCCACCACCACCTGGTCGTCCAAATTCCCAACATTTTTCTTCTGTGTGTATTCTGAAACAGAAGTTCCTCTCGTAGAAGCACTGAATTCTCCCACCCTTATGCCTTTTCTTTAATGGCCCTTCTTGACATGGTTTATAGGTAAAAAACATGATTCCAGGAACTTTTTACACAAGACATCCCAAACCAATAATACAAGCTATTTCAAGTCAGCAATGATGCCACAGTCCCTCCACTGTGAAGATCACAGAGGAGGGTGAGGGCAGCGGGGAAATGATGTAGCCTGATGGGGAATCCTAAACGGACAGTGACAGGCAAGTGGGTGAAATGCTCTGAATGAGGGGATACGGGGGCATTGGGAGCCTCAGGGAAGGTTTCTAGGGACCTCAGCTGGGTCTAGAACCAGATGAAAAGGAAGGACATTCCAGGTGGTGGAAGCCCCATGTCCAAAGGTACAGAGAACAGTGCCTTGAAAACTTAGTTGAGGGCTTAGCAGATGGCAGGGGGCATGGGGGAGGGAAGCAGGGTACCAAGAGAGAGGCCAGAGCAGAAGGCAGATGACAGATCTAAAGGAGACTTTCATGCCATACTCTTCTTTGAATCCTACTCTGAAGGCATAACTGATGGCATGGTTTTCATGTTGTCATGACTTATGTCCCATTCACCATGAGAAAGACATTGCTACACAAAGGGAGGTTTGGGAAAGAGCAATTACACCTAGCAAAGCATAGAGGGATTTACACTGACCATAGATTTAAATGTTTGTCTTATTCATTTTCTAGAGGGAAAGAAGAGAGAAGGTGCGCCAAGTGTGATGGCATGAAGAGTATGGAGAACGTTCAGCAGTTGAACCTTGTGGTGGAAACAAAGTACCCCCAAGAAGTTTAGAAAAGGATGCTTTGGGGCCAGGCATGGTGGCTCACGCCTGTAATTCCAGCACTTTGGGAGGCCGAGGTGGGCGGATCACAAGGTCAGGAGATCGAGACCATCCTGGCTAACACGGTGAAACCCCATCTCTACTAAAAATACAAAAAATTAGCTGGGCATAGTGGTGGGCGTCTGTAGTCCCAGCTACTTAGAAGGCTGAGGCAGGAGAATGGCGTGAACCCAGGAGGCGGAGCTTGCAAGATCGCACCACTGTACTCCAGCCTGGGCGACAGAGCGAGACTCCGTCTCAAAAAAAAAAAAAAAAAAAAAAAAAGGATGCCTTTGGAGAAATAATAGGAAGCAATGCTTTACTCAGGAAGCTGCAAACATCTGGAATTAATCCATCCTAGAGATGGTAGGGAGGCAAACAAAAATAGGCTCAAGGAGCGTTTTGATTATTTTGGGGGTGGGAGAGTCAGAGTGATGATTAAGGGAAGCTGGGGCTGTTTGGGACAGGTGCCCGACCATTTGAGGTTGGAGTCCTGTAGAGCAGCGTGCTTTCCCACCAAGGCTTGCAGACAGGGCAGACCAAGGGCTGGGCTGGAATGACTACTCGTCCAGCCCAGCTGGGCACCACTAGAGCTTCCTGTGGCGCTGGCCTCAAGCCCAGGTGAGCCCAGTTGTGATAAGGATGAGGAAGCAGGACTCAGAGCTGGGAGCTGTCCAGCCTGTAGAGCCACTCTATAGCCAGGCCCTATCTTCTCTTCACCCACCATGCTCAGGTGTACCAATCACTTTGGTGCCTGAGAAAGGTTGCAAATGCTCTCACCTATGGGCTCTGTGCAGTATCTGAGATTACTTTCTTCATTCAGGTGCCTTATCTCATTTTTACACGGATGTCACCTATAGGCAAGGACTAGACGTAAAGTTACTATGCTCAGTGTCAGGGACATGAAGACAGGAAAATCTGATAATAATGAGGGGAAAGAGGAGGATAAGGATAGAGGACAAATAAATAGCAATAGTGACAATGGCACAAGTCATGGTGGTAATGATGGTGGAGTTGATAGCTGAGATTAAGACAGGGAAATAAAGGTAGCAAAGATGGGGTAGGGTGATAAGGATGAAGGTGGTGATGGTGTATGTGGTAGGGAAGATCATGGTGGAGAGGTGGAGGTGAGGAAGGAGACAGAGTGGGCTCACCAGTGGAGGTAACATTGGAAGTGATGGAGATGGTGATTAAGAAAGTAACAAGGAAGGTCATGGAGCAGTGATGGTAGAAGTGACGAGGCCGGCTGGGCACGGCAGCTCACGCCTGTAACCCCAGCACTTTGGAAGGCCAAGACAGGCAGATAGCTTGAACTCAGGAGTTTGAGACCAGCCTGGGCAACATGGCAAAACCCCATCTCTACATAAAATATAAAAATTAGCCAGGCATAGTGGCACACACCTGTAGTCCCAGCTACATGGGAGGCTGAGGTAGGAGGATGGCTTGAGCCCAGAAGGTGGAGGCTGCAGTGAGCTATGATCAGGCCACCACACTCCAGCCTCAGCAACAGAGTGAGATCCTGTCTCAAAAACAAAAAAGAAGGAGAAGTAATGATGCAAGTGGTGGTGGAAGCAGTGGACCAGTCATGGTGGTGGTGATGTAGGAGATGAAACGAATGGAGGAAAGCTGGAGGGGCCGACCGTGGTGGTGGCGGGAGTGATGGCTGTAATGAAGGTAAAGAAACAGTGATGGGGCCGGGCATGGTGCCTCATGCCTGTCATTCCAGCACCTTGGGAGGCCAAGGTGGGCAGATCACCTGAGGTCAGGAGTTCAAGACCCGCCTGGCCAACATGGTGAAACCCCATCTCTACTAAAAATACAAAAATTAGCCAGGCGTGGTGGCGGCTGTCTGTAATTCCAGCTACTTGGGAGGCTGAGGTGGGAGAATCACTTGAACCTGGGAGGCAGAGGTTGCAGTGAGCTGAAATCAGGCCATTGCACTGTAGCCTGGGCAACAGAGCAAGACTCCATCTCAAACAAACAAACAAACAAAAAACCAAAACCAAAACAAAAACAAAACAAAAAAAGAACAGTGATGGTGGAGGTGATGAAGGAGATGATGGCACTGGAGGTTAGTAGTGGTGAAGGAGATGATAAAAGAGGCAGTGGTTGCAGTGGAGGCAGTGAGTAAAGAAAAAGAAGTCAGTTGTGAGCTAGAGCAGGCAGGGAGGGATTGCTGGAATGTTTGAGCTTTGAACCAGAATTGATAAACTCAGAGTTTAGGTAAAGGGGATAAGAGCAGGTCATTGCAGCTACGGAAATGTTAGTGAGAATTTGGGGGGCAGAATAAGTTGGCTGTATTTGTGGGCAGCAAGGAGAGCAACCTGGCTGGAGGGGAGGATGAACATGGACTGGCGTGGGAAATGAGGAGGAAGAAGAAGAGTAAGTCCAAGCAGATAAGTTCAGATTCCGGGTACAATGGAGACACCCTTTGGAGTCTCAAGCCAGAATGGGCTTTTAGGAAAGTGGTATTGTGAGCAGTCTGGAAGTGGTGAGCAGCCTGCTGGGAGGTGGGGGGCATTCAGCTCAGAGACTGACTGTGGAGTCCCCTGGGAGTGCACTAATAAGAGCCAGGTTTCTGCAGTGAAGGTGGCTGGCTCACACTGAGAGGCTCCCTTAACCCTAAGTCTGAGCTTATTTGCCCCTCCTTTCCTGGGGTCCAGGTTCCAAACACCACCCTAACCCCAATTCAGTGGCTCCTGAGGAATCAGGATTCATTTGGTCTGATCTAACCCTTTGTCAGGCTGGATCACAGTCATTTGCTGTGGCCAACTCTAGTGAGCCTGTGAGAGCCAATTGTGTAAATGTCTGCTCAGCTTCGACTAGAGTGACATCACGGAGATAGTCTGAAATCAGCCATGATGGGAGTATTTACACCATGGAGACTGGCAAATGCTACACATTGGCTTTGCTATTTCTGGAGATCCAGCTGTTAAACATGTAGCAACACACTGGGTACCCCGGGAGCCCCACCATGAGAAGTACGGACAGTCCTGATGCTGGGCTCAGGCACAAAGCATCTCCTTGCATACTAACGTCATTTATGGCATAATTAAAATCTAACCTGGCCAAGCGCAGTGGCTCACACCTGTAATCCCAGCACTTTGGGAGGCCAAGGCGGGCAGATCACTTGAGGTCAGGAGTTCGAGACCAGCCTGGCCAACATGATGAAACTCTATCTCTACTCAAAATACAAAAAGTAGCCGGGGGTGGTGGCACATGCCTGTAATCCTAGCTACTTGGAAGGCTGAGGCACGAGAATCACTTGAACCTAGGAGGCAGAGGTTGCAGTAAGCCGAGATCATGCTACTGCCCTCCAGCCTGGGCAAAGAGTAAGACTCAGTCTCAAAAAAAAAAAGTCTAATCTGTATGACAATAATTGCAAAATTCATTAGGCCTGAGTTTTGCAATTATTTTCCCGACTTTTTTATTATGAAAAATTCATATGTGCAGAAAAGTTGAAAGAATAGTGCAATGAACATGTGTATCTTCACCAATTACATATTCATATTTCCCCCAATTGCCCCAAGCATGGTTTTATAGTGGATTTCTCTCCCCAACAAAGATTCAAAGGATCCAATCAAAGTTCTCTCATTGCATTTCATTGTTTTGCTCTTTAGTCTCTCAATTTCTCTCTTTTTTCTTCTTTAGTCTCTTTTAATCTAGAACAGGGATCAACAAACTTATTCCATAAAGCGTCAGATAGTACACAGTAAATATTTTAGATTTTGCAGGCCAACAAGCAAAATAAGTTAGGTACTTACATTAACAACCATTTAAAAACATAAAAACCATTCTTAGCTGGCAACTGTACAAAAAAGAAAAAAAGTGGCGGGTGAGCTGGATCCGTCCCATGGGTCATATTTGCCCACCTCTGATCTAGCACACTCTCTGCACATACCCCCTGCAACAGGACCAGCGCTGCTTCATGGACATGTGACCTGTGCAAAGGCCCTGTGTGTTCTGAAGGACCCAGTGCTTGGTTTGATGTTCTGCCATCACTCTCCTGAAATTCTTCATAATTTTATCTTTGAACTTGGGTTTTATAAATGAAGTCTGATGGGACAATGGATTGTGTGCCTGATCAGAGGGGATACACCCAATATCTGTGTCCACAGCCATTCCTTGCCACACCATCTGTGGATAGCGTTCCTGATATTCCATAAGCATGGAATTCTAGTGAACCCATAATGCGTGTTACATCTGTGACTGGGTAAGTGGGACACTTTTATTCAAACCAGAAGCTTTCTGTCAAACCAGAACTGGCTTCAAATGCAGACAGAAGGCAATGGTGGTCTAAGAAACACAAATGACCAACGAACCCTATCATATCCTTTTTTTTTTTTTTTTGAGTTGGAGTCTCGCTCTGCCATCCAGGCTGGAGTGCAGTGGTGCCATCTCGGCTCACTGCAACCCCCGCCTCCCAGGTTCAAGTGATTCTCCTGCTTCAGCCTCCTAAGTAGCTGGGATTACAAGTGCGCACCACCATGCCTGGCTAATTTTTGTATTTTTAATAGAGATGGGGTTTCACCATGTTGGTCAGGCTGGTCTTAAACTCTTGACCTCATGGTCTGCCCACCTCGGCCTCCCAAAGTGCTGGAATTACAGGCATGAGCCACCACACTTAGCCATCATATCCTTCCTTACTCACCTCTTAATTCTCTGTAAAGTGAGTGATATGTTCTCTGTAACATGCTTCCCTGTTAACTTACACTGAAAATGATGACATATAAGGAAAGCAAATGATAGAACAATTTTTTTTTCTTTTCAGTACTTCTTTATTTATAAGTATGTGAAGGTAGAGAGCAGGTAGAATGTGTATCAAGTAGAGAAATAGGCCAGGCCCGGTGGCTTACATCTGTAATCCCAACACTTTGGGAGGTCAAGGCGGAAGAATTGCTTGAGCCCAGTTCATGATCAGCCTAGACAACATAGTGTGATCCTGTCTCTACAAAAAATAAAGAAATTATCTGGGCATGGTGGTGTGCATCTGTGATCCCAGCTACTCAGGAAGCTGAGGTTGGAAGATCACTTGAGCCTAGGAGCTCAAGGCTGCAGTAAGCCACATTTGTGCCACTGCATTCCAGCCTGGACTACATAGTGAGACCCTGTCTCAAAAAATATATATATAGTGAACCCATAATGCATGTTACGTCTCTTGTTTGTATATATATATACACACACATGTATTAATAGAAGTGAAATAGGCCGAGCACGGTGGTTCACGCCTGTAATCCCAGCACTTTGGGAGGCCAAGGTGGGCGGATCACGAGGTCAGGCGATCGAAAACATCCTGGCTAACACGGTGAAACCCCATCTCTACTAAAAATACAAAAAATTATCTGGGCATGGTGGTGGGTGCCTGTAGTCCCAGCTACTCGGGAGGCTGAGGCAGGAGAATCGTGTGAACCCGGGAGGCGAAGCTTGCAGTGAGCCGAGATCGCGCCACTGCACTCCAGCCTGGGCGACGGAGCAAGACTCCGTCTCAAAAAAAAAAAAAAAAAAAAAAGTGAAATAAAAACAGCTGTGTTAATTTTGTGCAGCATTTTCACTGCTCTGATAAGAACAAAATATATATGCATGTATGAACTATGAAATAACAAATTGTGTAATTTTGGCCATTCCACCATGAGTTAAATGCTCTTACATTTGCATTTAAAAGCGGTGTTGTATAATATAAAGATAACTGTAAATTTTATGCTAATAACTTAAAATTTTAATTTATTTTTATCTAAAATGACATCAAATAGCAAATAACATCAAATAGCAAATAGGAAACACCAGGATCAAACAAGAGAGAATAATCATGGAAGAAAGGTTTGTCTTTTAGTATCTTTAACAGCACTTTTTTCTTGCTTTTTGAACATGGGACCTCACTTTTTTCCTTTTCACTAGGCTGCAAAAAATCTGTAGCCAGCCCTGGCTGTGATATTGGCTCTTAGAAGAGTGTAGGCAGTGTGGAATGTCCTACATTCTGAATTTGTCTGATTGTTTCCACATTGTGTTTAGTCACTTGTTCCTCAATCCCTATTTGTCTTATAAATGAGAAGTTAGGTTTAGATGCTGATATGTTTTGGCTGCGTCCCTACCCAAATCTCAACTTGAATTATAGTCCCCATAATCCCCATGTGTCATGGGAGGGACCCGGTGGGAGGTAATTGAATCATGGTGGTGGTTACCCCCATGCTGTTCTCATGTTAGTGAGTAAATCTCAGGAGATCTGATGGTTTTATAAAGGGCAGTTCCCTGGCACACACCCTCTTGCCTGCCACCACGTAAGACATACATTTGCTCTTCCTTCACCTTCCATCATGATTGTGAAGTCTCCCCAGCCATGTGGAACTGTGATTCCATTAAACCTCTTTCCTTTATAAATTACCCAGTCTCAGGTATGTCCTTATAGCAGCCTGAGAACAGACTAGGAGAGATGCTTGAGTAGATTCAGGGTAAACCAATTTTGGTAACAGTATTTCATACATGAGTTTGCATCTTTCACATTGCATCACACCAGGAGGTGTCTGCTATTAGGTTGCCTCACTCTGAGTGATGCTATTTGATCTTCTGGTTAAGGTGACGACCTGCAAGCTTCTCTATGGCAAAGGTATAATTAGTAAGTAATTTTGTGGAGTGTTACTTGGTGCAGTTCCCCAGGAATCTTTCACCTAATGATTTTAGCATCTGTTGATGATCTTTTCCTAAATTAATTATTACACTGGAGGTTGTGAAATATTTTTCTCATGCTATTATTCCCTTTACGTGTATAAGCTGACCTTTTTCAATGAAAAAAACTTTCCTTTACCCCCTTCTTTCTCTGTCTCACTCTGTCTTTTTCTCTCTCTCCATCACTTTGTTTATTTTGGGGGACATGTCTAGGGACTCTTATTAATCACATTACAATTAAATATCATCATTGTTCTTTGTGATTTGTCTCCAGTTAGACCACGTTTGTTTACACGAAGCCCCTTCAAGCTGGCTCCTGTCTTCTTTTGACATGGCTTCCATTCATCTTTGAGCACCTCCGTGTTTCTTGACACAAAAGGTGTTTAGGCTCATCTTGTGCTTTTCCTGCTCCAGATCTGGCATCAGCCATTGCTCCAAAGACCATAGTGTTTAGAAACCACCATTTGGGCTCTAGGTGTGCTAATTGCTGCTGAGGTGTCACTGCCTCTAATGCTTTTCAGAGGACATGGATGGGAAATAAACTTTTAAAAAATATGTGTTTACATTAAATTTTAAGTTCAAATTTAGTATCATGTTTTGTTTTCAAGTTTTATATCTCTTTTCTTTTATACTGAAAATCTTAGTTCCTAATATAATTAATACATTTACTTATTTGCTTTATTCTACAAAAATAAAGTAGTTTCAAAATTACATTACTAAGACTACTTCTAACAATAAACCTACTAAATGAATTTAAAATTTCTTTGCAGTTGTTTCTCTCCTTAGAACACATTCCTCTTTAGTCAGAATACTATGTTAAAAATTGTTTGGGGCCGGGTGCAGTGGCTCACGCCTGTAATCCTAGCAGTTCAGGAGGCTGAGGTGGGCAGATCACTTGAGGTCAGGAGTTCAAGACCAGCCTGGCCAATGTGGTGAAACCCCATCTGTACTAAAAATATAAAAATTAGCCAGGCATGGTTGCGCATGCCTGTAGTCCCAGCTACTCAGTAGGCTGAGGCAGGAGAATTGCTTGAAACTGGGAGGCAGGGGTTGCAGTGAGCTGAGATCACGCCACTGCACTCCAGCCTGGGCGACAGAGCAAGACTCCATCTAAAAAAAAAAAAAAATAGAAAGAAAACAAAAGAAAAAAGTTGTTTAAAATAATTATTTCCTTCATGAGGTAATATTTTTGGTTTAACATAGAGTTAGGTTCATTTATTTCTGTTTGTATTCAATTTAAGGGTTTGCTTTTTTACCTCTTATATTAATTTTATTTTCAAATATTTAAAACATCTACATAGCTCAAAAGTTAGAATTAGCCTACAATCCTAGCACTTTGGGAGGTGGAGATGGGTAGATCACTTGAGGTCAGGAGTTTGAGACCAACCTGGCTAACACAGTGAAACCCCGTCTCTACTAAAAATAGAAAAATTAGCCAGAAGTTGTGGCCCACCCCTGTAATCCTAGCTATTCCAGAGGCTGAGAATCACTTAAACCCAGGAGGGAGAGGTTGCAGTGAACTGAGATAGTGCCACTGCACTCCAACATGGGCTATAGAGCAAGATTCTGTCTCAAAAAGAAAAAAAGGTAGAATTATATGAAATGTGCACTCAGAAAAGTTTTCCTTCATCTTTATCTTCTCCACTCTACTCATCAGAACCCCATCCCCACTGAACATGCAATTATTTTCCTTAGTTTCTATTTTGCAAACTAAGCAAATATATAAATATTATTATTTGTATTTGTTTCTTACACAAAAGATAACCATATACACCCTGCTTTGCATCTTGCTTTTTCATTTAACAGTGCATCCCAGAGACCACTGTACAAGTACGTGTTCATAGAGACTTTCCTCATTCTTTTATCAGCCTGCCTAGTACTCAGTATGCAAATGAACCACAATATATTCAACCAGTACCCCTGTTGAGGGGCATTTGAGTTGCTTTCCATCTTTTGCTTTAACAAATAATGCCACGATGAATAACCATGCACTTATTGGTGGAGTAATATCTTCAGGATAGATTCCTGGAATGAGATAGCTGGGTCAAGGGTAATTGTATATGCCTTTTGGTTAGACATTGCCAAATTCTCCATTTTGCATTCCAACCAGTAATGTGTGTGACAGCAGATACACAGAGTGAATGTCAAGCTTTTGGATTTTTATCAGTTTGGTAGGTGAGAAATGGTAGTTCAATGACATTTTAATATGCATTTCTCTAATTGTGGGACTGAACAGAGTTTTGAGTGTTGAAGAGCCACGTGCCTTTCTTTTTGTTATGAAATGTCTGCTCATGTCTTTTACTCATTTTTTTCTTAGGTTTTTGCCCTCTTTTTCTTCTCTATTTCCAAGAGCTCTTTATATGTGAACCCTTTCTCTGTGATACAGATTGCAAACGTTTCCCTGCAATGTGCCAATTGTCTTTGACTTTGTTTTTGGTGTGTTCTGTATCGGGGTTTATCTTTGGAAAAGGAGGAAGGTAAGAGACAAAAGCTGCTAGAGCTTCCTTAGCAGGATTTCAGGCCAAGAAAGCAGCCCAAATCACATGTGTAAACATCCAGGAATCTGGAGACAGGAGCCATGGAGACTGTTGTGAGCCATCATGGCCATAACCCTCCTCCTCCCACTGAGCTCAGGGGATCCAGCAGACAAGGTGAGCAGTCCTCAGAGAGAGGCCAGGGGTCAGGTCCCTTGATGGGCTGGGTCTGTACAGAGGCTGTGAAATTCCTCCTGAGCTCAGCAGGACGTGGCATTTGACTCTAGGAGAGCAGAGCATTCCAGACCCCACCCAGAACAGGGCATGAGGTAAGCCAGTCATGGGAGGAGAAGGGCAGGACCTGGGGTCAGTCCTGAGTGGGACCCTTGCTGACTCACCCCAGGCCATGGGGCCTTCCCACACCTATAAAGAAAGGGAAACACCAGAGATCCCAATTCTAGTACTAGAGGGAAGTTAGAGCTCCCAGCTGCCTCGGTGGACTCTGTATGTGCAAAACATGAAAACTAATATTAGAACTGCTAATAAATGTTGATATATATTGGCACTTACAGAGTTTATAGTTTGAACTATATGGAATTTCTGTTTTACGAGGCAGAAATGGTTAAATATTAGCAATTTCATATGGCTCCATCCAAAATGTACCAGGAGTGTTCTAAATGCTTTCTATGTATCATCCCATTGTATTCTCACAACAACCTTACAAGATAGATGCTTATCTGAGGAAATTGAGGCTCAGAGAAATGAGGCTCACCTTCAGCCTCCTCTCTCTTCTTCTCTGTCTGGCAATTTCTCCCAGACCAGAGCTCACTTACTGCCAGATGTTAACAAGAACCAGGAGGACGGGCATGAGGGCTCAAGTCTGTAATCCCAGCACTTTGGGAGGCTGAGCCCTGGAGTTCAAGACCAGCCTGAGAACATGGCAAGACCCCACCTCTACAGAAAATACAAAAAATGAGCCAGGTATGGTGGCGTGCACCTGTAGTCCCAGCTTCTTGGGAGGTTGAGCAGGGAAGATGGCTTGAGCCCAGGAGGTAGAGGCTGCAGTGAGCCAAGATTTTGCCACTGCACTCCAACAAAGGAGACAGAACAAGACCCTGTCTCAAAAACACAAAAACAAAAACAAAAATAAAAAAAACAAAATGAAGAGCTCCAGATAACTTTGTTAAGAAGAGAAAGGGAAATTGATATTCACTGAGTGGTTACTCTACCTAATGCTTTACATAAAATATCCTTTTTAGTCCTTGTTATGGACTGAATGCTTATGTCCCCCAAAATTCGGAGGTTGAAATCCTAACCCCAAGTGTGATGACGTTAGGAGGTGGGGCCTTTGGGAGGTGATGAGATCATGAGGTTGGAGCCCTCACAAGTGGGATTAGTGCCCTTGTAAGGAAGAGATAGGATAGAAATGATTTCTCTCTTGTTCATGTGAAGATACAAAGAGGAGACCACTATCTGCAAACCAGAATGCAAGCCTTCACCAGACACTGGATCTGTTAGCACCTTGATCTTGGACTTCCAGCCTCCAGAACTGTGAGAAGTAAATGTTGTTAAGTTGCGCAGTCCATGGTATTCTGTAATAGCAGACTGAACAGTCCTCATAAGAACACTGCCAGTCAGGCGTGGTGGCTCACACCTGTAATCCTAGCACTTTGAGAGGCCAAGGTGGGCAGATTGCTTGAGCAACAGAGTTCAAGACCTGCCTGGACAACATGGTGAAATCCCATCTCTACAAAAAACACAAAAATTAGTTGGGTGTGGTGGCACACACCTATAGTCCCAGCTACTTGGGAGGCTGAGGTGGGAGGATCACTTAAGCCTGGGAGATTGAAGCTGCAGTGAGCCAAGATTGAGTCACTGTACTCCAGTCTGAGGGACAGAGTGAGACCCTGACTAAAAGAAAGAAAAAAAAAAGAATGCTGCCAAATTAGTGTCAATAGCTCCACTTTAGAGATGAGAAAATAAATGCTCAGAGTTTAAGGAACTTGCCTGAGGTCCCTCAGCAAGAAATTTAAGAGCCAAGATGCAAACTCACGTTTGTCTGTCTCCAAAAGCTGGGTTCCTCCAAGATTCTGTACACACTCCATCTAGTGACATTGCTATGGCTCACAGACCTCTTTGGGAACTGTCTTCAGAACCAAAAAACTAGTCTCAACAATATGAGTTGTCCTTTACTGATGAGCCCTTTGCCTTCTCCCCTTCCTTCTGGAAGCAGCAGTGTGGCTGTTAAACAGGGAGACTTGGGTGTCAGATCAGCTGGGTTTGAATCTGCTTCCCTGCTGTGTGATCTTGGACAAGTTACTTAACCTTGCTATGCCTCAGTTTCCTCACAGGTAAAATGTGGACAAGGGGAGTTTATTGTATCTCCCTTGAAAGGCTGCAATGATAGAGCAAGATAATTAATCCACTTAGAGCACTTAGCACCATGCCTAGTATATAAAGAGTGCTCAGTAAGCATTGGCAATTGTGATCCTCTCCAGGCAAGCCCTGGCTGATTTACTGTGCCCTCCATGTGAGGTGAGGGTCCCCTCCTCTCTGCTCCCCCAGCATCTCAGGATGCCTGCCATGCACTTACCTCCTGGGCATTGGCATTACCTGCCTGCTGCTTTATACCTGGCATGAGCCATGTTCTTGCACTCTCAAGGCCTGGGGTCACTCTCACAGCAGATGAGCCAGGGGCCGCTTGGAGGGGATCACTGTCAAGCCCAGCTGGTCACTGGCCTGGCTGACCTGCTGATTACCCCTGGCAGACTGAACACTGTCAGGATATTCTCATCTCCAAGCAGCAAGAACAAAGATGGCTCATAGGCAAAGAATGAATAAGCTAATGACTATTAGCTATTTTTAATCTTAAAACATCAACCATCTCCACTGAGAAAACTCAAAATAGTTTGGAGCAGGGATGGGCAGGGGTTGGTTCCTCGAACAGTGGCGGGCTCACTGGATCTACGAGTATCCAGCCTCCCTAGGGAGCAAGCTCATTTGCATGGATAAATTCTGATCTGTGGTTTTCAAGTCAGTGCTTCTTTGTGTTCCCTACAGTGCCCTGCACACAGTAGGAGCTCAATAAATAGGTGTTTATTTTTTGAAGTATTCCAGAGCCCCTGAATTCACAAACAGAAACCAGAACCTGCGTCTCCTCCCTGGCAGGCCAGGCCTCGGTCCATCTGGGCAGACAGATGACCATTCACCGACCTGGCCCTCTGGGAATACTGTCCTGGCTCCAAGTGGGGCTGCTGAAAGGGGGCCATTCTCTCATCTGAGTAGGGCCACAGACACTTCACAATGAGGATTTTTTTCTCAACTGCCTCACTTGACCTGTGGGTCTAACAGGCAGTGGGCAAAGCCCAGGAAAGGCCTGTGACAAATGGCCTTCCAGCAGCCCACGACCTACTCTACTCTCTTGGACTTCCCAAGACCTTGAAAAAACCAAGAAGGCTGCAACCTTTCCCTCTTTCCAGCTGCATGGGGAACGAGTGTCCCCAAGAAGGTGGGGGGCTTCTTCCTGTGGCCACAACATCTGGGCCATCACCCTTCTCTCCCTCTCCCTCTATCACTGCAAGGGGTCAAGAAGAGTCAGTTATCTTAAATTGTAACAGAAGTACTGCTTGACCAATGCGAGGATTTCTGCAGAGCCCGAGAGAGCACAGTACACCTTCCCCCTGAATCATGGCTCTGTCTCTGCAAAATGGGGCGCTTGGGAAGGGAAGGTCCAGAACCTTGTGGTCTATTGAGCCAGCTGTGTGTGGCTAGTGGAGAAGGTGAGGCATAATGGAGAAGAATGGGGATGGATGGGGGTTATGAGCCTGTGTTGAGGAGAAGGGAAGGTCTAACAGGAGAGTCTGGGATCTCCTGAGAGATCCAGACCAACTGGTCTCATCTCTTGCTTTCGGCACCTTGCCCCAAACTTCTAGAATTTTCGTAAAGCCATTTAATAGAGACAGCACAGGACCCAGCACCATGATTCCACCAAAGGTCTACATCATAGTCAAGGGTTTAGGTTGTGGGGACAGAGAGGCCTGTATTCCAATTCCCATTGGACAGGTCAGGAACTCTTCTGAGGAACGCGTCTGTAAAAAAGCAGGTAACACTATGTCCTTTCTTGTAGGATTGGGATAAGGGAAGCTCAGGACCTAGCACAGTGAGCACTGAGCAAGTATTGGCCACCATGATTATCAAGTGCAAAAGCAGAAGGGTGCACAGGCAGCAAATCTACGAGTTATCATCTTTGGCTGGAGCCACAGGTGTGAAACATCATGCAAACTGAAAAGATAGATTGGAGATCATGCTGTGGAGGGCTGTGGGATGTTTATACTTAATTCAGTGGTCATGGGGAGCCATTGAAGGTTTGTGACCAAGGGAGAAATGTGAACTGAGACAGAATCAGGGAACAAGATGAGAATGGAGTTTGTGGACAGAGAATTCAGCCTGCGGTCTTGTCACCCATGTCCTTGTGCTCAGATTACCCCAACCCTAATGTCGTCTCCCCTCCACCCTCCAACCCCAGCCTACTCAGCAAACAGCTTCAGCCTTGCCCTTGAGAATCACAATTTTCTTCTTTCCTGCCCTCTGATGGGAATGTGAAATCTTGCTTGAATTTGCTGAGTTAAAATAACAGGACTTAGCGAGAAATAGCAGGTCTGCACTGGTTTCTAAGCAGGCCCCAGTTTGATTTAATGCTAATTTAGTGTGAGTGCCATTTTCACATGTGTTTCTTCTCACTTTACTAGGATTTCAATTTTTTTTCTTTTCCTCTGCAGTGCTCTTTGCCAATCTCCGATAAGAGGATCCTTGGAAAATCCAGACACGAGTCTGGCAGTCTGTTGGCGTACCTGTTATGTTTGAATCTGTAAGGAGAGATGTGCCAAAAGCAGTGTCACTCTGGAGCTGGGCCATGGTGTGTGTAAGGGTAGGGACTGGTCTGCCTTGCTCTCTGATGGACTCCGCACACTTGGAAATGTGCCTGGCATGCAGCAGGCGCTCAGTAAATGGATGCTAGTGGAGAAACTGTGGAAGGATGGATTTGCCCACCATTGTAAGCCTGTGAAAGTCTAAGAAACACCACACAGGGCTGCGGACCTCCCCCTCAGGAGTGAGTGGATGGCATCTGCCCTGCTCTGGAATGTGGCACAGGACTCCTTCTGGTGAAAGGGGAGGTGGTGGGGGGTGGTTAATGAGCAGGTATTGGAGGGAGGAACACGTAGGAAGGTGTGGTTGGCCAATCTAATATCCACCCGGACTAAAACCCCTGGCATCTACAGCCTCCGTCTGAGAATGAGTCTGGCCGGCATGCCCAGCGGCGGCCCAGATGGGGCATGACATCAAAACAGCACACGGGAAGGGGCGAGGCTCCCACGGCCACCTCAGCCCCACCCTGGCACCCTGGCATGCCCCTCACGCTTCCCCCGGCACCCACTGCAGAGTGACCATGACAAAGGCAACACCTTTACTGCCTTCTCAGGTGGCGGACGCCCGTGACCCTCAGCTCGAGAAACCCATCTGTGGGGGTCAAGCAGTCAGGGTCTAGGCCTGGCCTTCCATGCCCGAGCAGAGCCCAAGGCAGGGCCCCAAGCCCTGGGCAGAGCGTGCCCCTCCCGCGGTCCAGGGGTCCGCGGCGGGCAGCACATACCTTCCCGGCGTGGTCAGGACACGCGGCCCCACGCGCGGGCCACACAGGACACTGGGAGGTCTGAACCCAGGGCAAGCATCCGAGGCAGCCAAACAAGGGCGGGCTTTGTGCGCGGGCGACGGCAGGACTGCGAGTCCCCCGCACCCCTCCCGGCCCAGATCCCAGCCCCTGCCCAGCA
The DNA here is from genome assembly GCF_000001405.40 of Homo sapiens. Taxonomy (NCBI): domain Eukaryota; kingdom Metazoa; phylum Chordata; class Mammalia; order Primates; family Hominidae; genus Homo; species Homo sapiens. The sequence goes on from NC_000015.10 coordinate 88,742,005, forward strand.
GATTCCTGCGGGCCGTATCTTGGCAGCGCGGCAGCCCCTGACCCGGCCCTCGCTTTCCCCTCTCTCTCCAGGAGAAGAGCCCCAGATGGAAGAGAAGAGCCTGGACCTCCGAAGGATGCAAATCACCCACTGAATCAGCAGATAGTGGCAGAACAGACACAAACTTGCTTTTTGGGAAGACAAACACAAGGGCCCACTTTGCTGCTCCCCGCCCACCACTGAAGGGGCGGAATGTGCTTCTAATACAGGGGTTGAAGGTCCTCCCCAAGGGTCCCAGCACCCAGTCTCCCTATGGCCCCCAGGAGTGAGGGGCCTGCACAGCTGAGACATCTTTGCTTCTCCTCCTCTCTGAGCTATGCCTGTCTGGCTATAGCAGGGAGCCCGTGTGCTGAGCTCACTGCAGGGACAAGCTGATGGGAACCTGAGGAGAGTCTCCGGGGTTCTCACCCTAAGATCTCAGTCCCAAGCCACCCAGTGCTCCCAAGACCCATGGCCACAACAGACCAGACCCCCTGCCTCTCTCCCAGGACCTGGCCAGGGCTCTACCAGAAGACTGATCCTGCTGGAGTCGATTTGATCTTGGGAAGGGAGCTATTGGACTGTTCTCTGGCCATCCTCACACTCTGCTGGAGAATGTCCACACAAAGGCATGACCTTTCAGGAGGGCAACTTAGAAACACCTGGCAAGGTCTTTAAAATGGTTCTTCCTTCTGATGAGTTATTTCAAGGAATTTATCCTAAGAAAGGAATTGTAAAAGTGCACAAAGCATTACAGATAATAACAAAGCAATGGGAACAAGTTCATGGCCACCGATAGACTATGACATAGACATTGCAAATAACGGATATGGGAAAAATTGTCGTAATAGATCATTAAGTGGAAAAAATGTAAGATAAAAACCGTATGGGGCCGGGCACAGTGGCTCACACCTGTAATCCCAGCACTTTGGGAGGCTGAGGTGGGCGAATCACTTGAGGTCAGGAGTTTGAGACCAGCCTGACCAACATGGTGAAATCCCGTCTCTACTAAAAATACAAAAATTAGCTGGGCATGGTGGCATGGGCCTGTAATCCCAGCTATTCAGGAGACTGAAGCAGGAGAATCACTTGAAACTGGGAGGCGGAGGTTGCAGTGAGCTGAGATCACACCACTGCACTCTAGCCTGGGCGACAAAGTTAGACTCCATCTCAAAAAAAAAAAAAAAAAAAAAATGTGTATTTTCAGTTTCGGAGCTTTAATAGATCTTAAGGAAGCCGGTATTCTGAGTAAGAAGAAGCTGAGAACTAAACTAAAGAGCAACAAGGATTTCCCATGCCTAGTAATAAATGCCACAGGGTTTTCTTGATAATCAAATGAAATAATGCTAGCTAGCTAATATCAGAACTGCTAATAGTTAAACGCTGATATATATTGGCACTTACAGAGTTTATAGTTTGAACTATATGGAATTTCTGTTTTATGAGGCAAAAATGGTCAAATATTAGCAATTTCATATGGCTCCATTATTTCATCTGCTTAAGATGTAGAGGGAAATTTAAAAAAAAAACTATATTAAGACAATGGAAGGCAGGAAAGAAAGTAAAAGAGGAAGAGGAAAAGCAAGATAAAGAAAGCCTATCATAAGATGGCAAAAACAATAATGACATCAGTAATGAATCCAAATATTAAAAGTCTAAACTCAATACCTAAAATGTTTGCCAGACTTGGTTTAAAAAATACGTACATAAAGCAAAAAGTGATAGAATTATAAGAAATTTATAAATTCACATCGATAGTGTGTGATAGTTATAAGAGAAATAGTCAAAACAAGAAAGAGAAACCTTAAAAATAAAAGACTGGAAAAGATATACCTAGAAATATTAACCTCTCACCCCCCAAAAAGCTGCTGTATCTGTATTAAACTTGAAGATAAAAAGCATTATTGCAAATATGAAGAAGTACCTAATTATAAAAGGAGTGGCTCACCAGGAAGCTATAAGAATTATAAGTTTGTAGGCATATAATAAATTTGGTATCCAAATTTATAAAACAAAAAGCAATAGAGTTACAAGAAGAAATTTCTAAATCCTCAATCATGATGGAAGATTTTTATTACACTTCTCTCAGTAACTGATATATTAAGCAGACAAAAATTTAGTAAGGACATAGACTATTTGAAGAATGCAATTACGCTTAATCTATGGACATATATAGAACTATGTACCCAACACATAGAGAAATACTTTTCAAGAACACATAAAATATTTGCTAACACTTATTATGTACTAGGCATAAAGAAAATCATAATAAAAACCATAATCGGTATCATATAAACCCTGTATTTGAAAACAGGGCAATTAAAATAGACATCAAGAACAGAGAGATAACTAAATTTAATGCCATACATTTTGAAACGCTTTTAAAACAAACTTCTAGATAATTCATGAGTTAAAGAAAAAATCAAAAGTTGGAAAATATTTAAAATTGGATGACAGTGAAAATCCTGTGTATCAAAACTTATGGCATGGGTGCCTTTTCCCTTCTCTTCCTTCCTGATCCACTCAGTGCTAAGCTATTGGATGGACAGAGCAAGGTAACTGACACATACCCACTCGGAGGGGTGGCCTGGAACCAGCACCACATCCTCAGAGGAGGGAGAAGCACATCCATGCAGGGGGGCGGCTCAGCATGGGGAGTCAGAGCCCAAGCTGGGGGAGAGGGCAGCTGTGCGAGCAAGCAGCCCAGTGTGTGGTGTAGAAGCCCAAATGTGGTGAGGATGGCATTCATATACGGGGCATACCTGACAGGAGGTGTCACTCTGGGTGAAGAGGACACCCATGAATGCCACACCAATACAATTCCAATCTTACACCCAGGGTTCATTCACGTATTTCCCTTTCCATATGTGGACTTCCCTTCTCCAACAGCAAGAAGCCTGGCTCTCCTTGTCCTTAGTCTACGGTTGCATTCCATTCATTCCCCCTTGTCAATACCGCTCACCACTGTTACTGCCTCTCCTCCAAAAGAGACAGACACCTTTCTTACTCTAGTTAGTCTCTGGCACTCCATCCGAAATACTCTGCACTTTACGTTGAACTTTTCTATAAGTTAGAGACTGCATTTAAAAATTCATTTAAAAACAAAGTGAAACTTACAGGATGCTGCTAAATCAGTAAAGGCACATTTATAGCCTTAAATGCTTATATTAGAAAAAAAGACTGAAAATTAGTCAGCAAAGTACCCAAGACAATTGAGAAAGAAAAACAGAGTAAACTTAATGAAAGCAGAAGGAAGGAAATAATAAAGATAAGTGCTGGCAACTACATAAGGTCATGTAAACGCCTCCACATTTCTGGAGAGAGTGAAACTTGATATACTAATTTGGAAAACAATTTTCCTCACCTAGTAAAGTTTAAAATGCACACCTATTGGGAAGCTGAGGCAGGCAGATCACCTGAGGTCAGGAGTTCAAGACCAGCCTGGCCAAAATGGTGAAACCCCATCTCTACTAAAAATACAAAAAATTAGCCAGGCGTAGTGGCGCACACCTGTAATCCCAGCTACTTGGGAGGCTGAAGCAGGAGAATCACTTGAACCCAGGAGGCAGAGGTTGCAGTGAGCTGAGATGGCACCATTGCACTCCAACCTGGGCAACAAGAGCAAAATTCCATCTCAAAAATAAATAAATAAAATAAAATGCACACCTATGACCCAACAATTCCACCCTCAGAAACTTCTGCACATGCCCCAAGAGACAGTAGAAGAATGCTGTTAGCAGCATTGTTATAGTAGCCAAAAAAAAAATCAAATCAAATAAAAACAAATGAAATGTCTATTGATAGAATGGATAAATAAATCATGATCTATTCATACGATGGAATACTGTGGGTTAGTAAAAATGATTAACCACAGCTACACTCATGACCACAAACGAATTTCAAAATCATGATGAGCTAGTGACAGAAGAATGCACATTGCTAAAAATATGCAAGAAAATATAGGATAAAGTATTTATGACCTTGGGAATAGGAAGAATGTCTTTAAAAAGACATGCAAAGTATAATGGGAAAGATTGATAAAACTGACAATATTAAAATTAAAACATCCTGCATCATAAGCTACTATAAACAAAAGAGAAAGACAAGCCACAGGCTGGGAGAAGATAGTTGCAACACATTTAACTGATGAGGGATTAGTCTCCAGAATTCATAAAAGAATTATTAAACAACAGCAAAAAGACAAGCTCAAGAGTAAAAAATGGGCAAAGGGTATGTGAAAGGAAAATAAATCTTTATATATATATATATATATATTTTATTATACTTTAAGTTCTAAGGTACATGTGCACAACATGCAGGTTTGTTACATATGTATCCATATGCCATGTTGGTGTGCTGCATCCATTACCTCATCATTTACATTAGGTATATCTCCTAATGCTATCCCTCCCCCCAGAAAATAAATCTTGAGACCCCAAAATCGTTAAGCTAAAGGGAAAAGTCCACCTGGGAAGTGCTTAGGGCACACTTGCCTCCCATTCTTTTCAAAGTCATCCTTCTGCTCACTGAGATAAATGTATATCTGATTGCTTCCTTTGGAAAGGCTAATCAGAAACTCAAAAGAATGCAACTATTTTTCTCCTATCTACCTATGACCCAGAAGCCCCCTCCCCGCTTGGAGTTCTCCTGCCTTTCCAGACGTAACAAATCTTACATATATTGATTGTAAGATTGTTCATCTTATATATATTGACTGATGGCTCAGGTCTCCCTAAAATGTATAAAACCAAGCTGTGCCCTGACCACGTTGGGCACATGTCATCAGGACCTCCTGAGGCTCAGGGCACGTCCTTAACCTTAACAAAAGAAACTTTCTAAATGGACTGAGACCTGTCTTGGGTATTTTGGGTTAACAGGTATGAAGATGCAATTTACAGAAAAGGAAAGTGGAATGGCTAGCAAATTCACTGGAGATGGGAATATGCAAATAAAATCTCTGGTGCTTACACCCTAGGTTCCCACCCCAGGTTTTCAACACCAAGCTCATGACCCTGCCACTGTCACCACTCACTCTGTCCACCCATCTTCAGGCCCATTGGCTGCTGACCACACCACAGTGCTCAGCCTGACCTTTCTACTGTTCCTCTAGGTGCCAGTGCTCACCTGTCTCTTGAAGAATGGTGCACTCTGCTAGAGCTGTTCCAGTTCCCAGGAGGTAGACACATACAGCCCCTTCTTTCCCAAGTCACATACATACTTCCAGGGTAGCCAGGCTCAGGCAGGTTCAAGTCAAAGGAAAATCCTGTGGTTAATAAGATGATGGTCCCTTTCAACCCTCAACCCTGTTGCTGAGTCAGTCTCACCACGGCTGAGTCCTCCTTTCCCCATGGTGGACTCTTTTCCAATTTCTCAAATATCCATTTCCTTTGCCATTAAGTGTCTGTTGGCTTCCCCCCCCATCTTCCTGTATGTCTGAACCCCCAAGTATAAATACAATTTGAGATCATTTCCAACAGGCTATCCAGCCCCCATAAATGTCAATGAATGCCAAACATAATTCATGATTCTAAATTTTTTTCTGGGATAGGTAAAAATTGCCAATTTTTTTCATCAAGATAGAAAGCGAAAACAAAGAACTTTCGAAGAACCAAGCTAGGATGACATGTCAGTCATGGCATCCTGCTGAGAGGCCTACTGCTTTAACTTGGCCATGGTACGCCTATAGCATGTCTGCCTCAACTCCATTATTCCTCAAGTAAGAAATTCAGGAGTAAGAATAAAACCAGTCAAGATATACATGCTTCTTTCTCATCTGGCTGTAAACAAAGCCATGCCTTGGGATTAGCAAAAACTGCCATGTCACAGAATCACAGCTGTCTGATTTAAGTTCCCACCCATAGCAAGAATGCCCTCTAAAATTTTGCAGACCTGGTGACAATGAACTCTATTTAAATCCCTCCAGAAAAAAAAAAGGGGTGTAAAGTCTAACAATACCAAGCATAGGTATCCCCAGCTCACATCGTGGGACACAGTCAACCACTGTTCTCCATCAATATCTACTGAGTAATTTTTCATTCACTAAAATATTTATTAAAAGCTCTATTTGAATGTGGTCTTTGACCCATAAGCTTTATTTTGTGACTTGGAACATTTCTATATTTTTGCATGAAGGTTACATTTCGAAATCTAACCACCCTCAGAAAATAGCTTTTTGTGAATCTAAAAATTCTCAAGCTTGTTGTTTCAATGACTGGAAATGACATTTCTCTAAATGCTTTCTTTAAAAGCATACATAAATCAGCACCACTCACTGGCTACAAAAATACTGATGTAACTAACGGATTAAAAGTTATTTGCAGATCGTAGCATGCTAAATTTATCCTTAAGATCCACTCATGTCACCAAATATGGGTTTCTCAATAGTACTGAAAAATAAAGTTATTTTTAAATATAATGTAATCCAAATGTGGTCCCCTTGTCCCTCCTCATTCTTTCCTCTTTTCTATGTCCTCTTTAGCGGTGGCCAGATAATAAAATTTCTTCACATAGCTGCATTAATATTGCATAAAAATTGGAAAACAAAAGGAAATTTTCCAAACAAATGTAAGCATTTTTGTGTCTTTCTTCCTTTCTTTCATTCTTTCTTTCTGTTATTGTTGTTCATTTGCAAATATATTTGTTTATATACATTTTTGTGCCCCCTTATTTACTTTGTAGCAAATCCCCCCATCAACCCCCTCATCTCTGTGCTATGTGCAGCACCTTCCCTCTTGTCTCTCCATTGTCCTCTTGTGGACAGGGATCACATCTTTGTCCCTCTATAATTCCCTGGAGGGCACAGCAACTGGCACATTGCTGTGTGCTCTCAATACTATTCACTGAAATTCCAAGTCATCAACGAGCAAAGAACACACCAAGTCTTTAGAATTGTGACTTACCATGCTATGCCTAGATTGCATAATGAGAGAGATTGTGTTATTTTTCTCCCTTGATAAGAAAAATATTCAGGTTCAGAAAGCTTTCATAACCTGTCCCAGGTCACAGAGATGACAAGTGGCCCAGCGAGGATTCAAAGTTCCACTGAATCCAAACCCCAGACTCCTAACCAACCTGTATGACAAATCTCTTTTTGAATACAGAGGACTCTGTCTTTAATGATGCCCCTATTTCAAAGCTGGAGAGCTTCCACTGTTAGAAAAATGCACAGTCTGGGTCGGGCGTGGTGGCTCACGCCTATAGTCCTAGCACTTTGGGAGGCCAAGGCAGGCAGATCATTTGAGGTCAGGAGTTCAAGACCAGCCTGACCAACATGGTGAAACCCCCGTCTTTACTAAAAATACAAAAAATTAGCCATGCATGGTGGTGCACGCCTGTAATCCCAGCTACTTGGGAGGCTGAGATAGGAGAATGGTTTGAACCTGGGAAGCGGAAGCTGCAGTGAGCAGAGATCGCACCATTGCACTCTAGCCTGGGCGACAGAGCGAGATTCTGTCAAGAAAAGAAAAGAGCCCAGTGTGCCTTTGCGTAGTGATAGGCTTTGTAGTCAGTGATCATGCCTGCCCTGGTCTTCTCTACTCCAAGCTAGTCACCATCACCTTCCTCACACTTTCCCTCCTATAGCAAGGCCTCCAGTCTTCCCACCAGTATCAATCTCTTCCAGAGGCTTTTAGTCTGTGCACATATTGCTTCAAATATTGTGCCAACAGTTTGGCAATATTGCCCTTTGACTTGAAAATTAAAAGTCCCTCTTTTCTAAGAAAAGGCTATTTGTTCTCCAGCCATAGTAACAACTAAGCAGCACAAAGGATTTAAAACCTGACGTGCTACCTTGTCTTCAGTCTCACTGAAATCCATGCTCCTGAATCAGCCAATCATAAATGGCACATGATTCTGAAAGTCAGCCAATCAAAGATAGCTATATGCTTCTGCCATCCAATCAGCAATAGCTGCACTCTAATAACCACACCTCCTCAATTTAAGGTCAGCCAATCCCTTAATTCTCACTCTTGAAATTCTATTAATCCTTGAATTCCGTGCTTCCTCCAAACTTTGTTCAGAAAGACTGTCTCAAAGCACAATTTTCTCTTACTTTACAAACAGTAAATCCTGCTTTTTGTTTCAAGTTTTCACTATTGCCTTCTTCCTTTGATATCCCTAACAATTGTCTTTTCTAGGAGTTTATCCTAAGAAAATAACCAAGCATATGTGCAAAGATTTAGCATTAGAGATGACTTCGTTTATGATGGAGAAGCAGCATGTGTCCAACAGTAGCCTATTAGGTATAAATTTTGATATTTCCATCAAATGGAATAAATGCTAAAATAACCATGAAAAATCAAGTTGTGGCAGATTATTTTATTTTATTGATATGGGAAAATGTCCAAGACATGTTAGTGGAAAAAGCAGATTGTAATGTAGTATTTATAATATGATTCCAATTTTATGAAGTATTTAAGTATATATGTATAGGAAAAAAGACTAGAAGGATATATAGGAAGCCATCAATAGTTATTATAGGAGCTAGGATTACAGGCAATTTTCCTTCTTTCAATTTTCAGCATTTTCTTAATTTTCTGCAATGATACACATATTGCTTCTGTAATTTAAGAGAAAAGAGCATTTTTTAAAAGTAATATCCAGAATAGAACACAATCCACTGATGAGTGCAGAGAGCAAGACCGAGTACAGACAAATGCCTCCTTGATAATGCAGATACCGAATCTGATCATGTATCACATGCAGCTCCGTAATGCTGTAGGCACATATTGAGTTCAAGGTTAATTACATCCTCCTTGTTCTTTCCTCTTGTATACTCCCAGTCATGACCTCTCAAGTGCAATTTGTTAAAATTGAACTCATTTTCCTCTGGTTCCCTGCCTGCTCTGTCTACATATCCCCTCCCAACACAAACACACACACACACACACACACACACACACACACACACACACACCTTTCACCAAAGCAAGCTCTCCACAATCCTAAGTCCTCCCAGGCCTTCAGGCTCTTCTTCCCTTTGCATCCTGTCCCTTAACAAGCCCTCCAGATATTCTTCCAGAATGCCCTGTGCATTCGCCCCCTTCTGCCAAAACTCTACTTCAACTTTTCCTACCCGATAAGGTATATCAGACTGGCAACCTGAGAACCAAACATTGCCCCAAACTAGTTTTTCTTGACCCACATACTATTGAATTATAGACCAACAATTATGGATTAAGAGGCTTCACATAAAAATACAAAATTCTGGCCTCTTACTAAAATAAAACAAAACAAAATGCTATGTTGAAGTTGAGAAGTGACTTCCCCTTTAGACACAGCTAATCCCTTCCAGTTTTCCACAGTCTCCAGCACTCCCTATTGCACCTCTAATACCAAGAGTTCCAGAGGTCATTTAATGTCAAACTTGCTCAGTTGTTTTTCTTGCACAGTCCCCGTGGGCATTTGAGTGTGTGACCCTGACCTAGATTCAATGAATTTTAGTCGCAAGCAGCCTTCAAAATCCTTTTAGAGTAGAAATATCTTCTATATATTTTTAAAATAGCATTTTATCTTTGTTCTAATTAATTACAAAATGATAAATTGCCTAAGAATTGATAAGGTAGAAAATGCATCTCAGCTTTCCCTTTTTATCTCTGAACAAACAAGAAAAGGAAGACTGAGGCTGGGCACAGTGGCTCACACTTGTAATCCCAGCACTTTAGGAGGCCAAGGCAGGAGGATTGCATGAGGTCAGGAATCTGAGACCATGCCTATGGTCCAAGCTACTCAGGAGGCTGAGGCAGGAGGATCATTGAGCCCAGGAGATTAAGGCTGCAGTGAGCCATCATGCCACTGCTCTCTAGCCTGGGTGACAGAGCAAGACCTTGTCACAAAGAGAAAAAGAAAAGGAAGACTAAGTTGACCACATAATACAATATTTTGTTTCTTAAGTTGCACTAGCTGAAATGGTCTTTTATTTTTAAAAACCATACATTTCAGCTTTCATCTACATGTTGTTATTAAGAAAGAATCATGAGCTTTTTATGGAAGAAAATAAAAGACACGTGATGCTTTCATTGAAGAAGTTCACATGTCTTATTTTTGGCTGGTGTCCTAAAAAGGAAATTGTGGTAAAAAAAGAGATAGATAGATAGATGATAGATAGATAGATAGATAGATAGATAGATAGATAGATAGATAGAGAACTTACAGGTAAACCCCTATTTCTTACCTCTTGGCAACTGCCTTAGCAGACACTTATGGAGAAAGAAGATATTCTTTAGTTTTTTGATGCAGATGCAAAAATGAAGGTGAAAAACTATCAAAACAAATCACTGCTTAACATTCCCAGGTATTTCACTTCTAATATGAGGTTACAGGAAAAAAAAAATCCCTGGTATATCTTCCGAATGTGAAGCCTATCTGCCTTTTACACTGTAGGGTGGAGAACATCACAATGAGCAAGTATGCCCTTTGAGTAGGGAAAAAAAGATTGAAACGAGCCCTCCTGAAGAGAGATTTCTGTTGTAGTTCAAGTTACCTTTATCGGCTTTGAATCAATATAACCTTGGAAATCATGGTGTGTTCTAATCAAATCAAGGGATGAGCATCTCTTAAATCTAACAATAAAATAATAGAATTATTATAATTCTGTGACCTCGACAATGGGTTGGCCCAGAAGAGAGCAAATGACCCAGCAGAGACAACTGTGTGGACTTGTGCCCCAAAGGGCAGGCAGCAAGACAGAATACGATGCTGCTGCGTGCAGCCCTGTGAACTCCTCCTCCCACAGGGAACTGATGTAACTGGAAGGTGCCAAATCCTCCTTAGACCACCCCTGCTCTCTACCAGTCCCCACCTTGAAATAAGTCTAAATAGCACCCCTCCGCCCCCACCCCCCAAAAAATCCCAACTACAAAAGCATTGAAGAGTAATTATAAATTTACTACAGGTCCCTAAGGGAAGTAGAAGGAAGTCACATCATATCCCACCCAACATAACATTCTCAAGTCCCTCTTAATCATGTCTGTTTTCTCTCTCCAGCCCCTTTTTAGAGCTGCCTAGCCTCTTCTCTCATCTCCCTCCCATCACCCTGGCTTCCTCCCACCTCTCAGATCTTTTTTTTTTCTGAATCCTACTACACCAGCTGTTCTCAACACTGGCTGCATCTCATGATCCCCTGGGGAGCTTACAAAGTAAACCAGTGCAGAGTCTCACCCTCAGAGACACTGATTCAACTATCCTGGGGTAGGATCTGGGCCTATTATTGTTTCCAAGCTACCCAGGACTTCTAAGGTGCCACCAGAACCACAGTTCTCCAAATTTCCTTGTGTAGAACATCTTAATTTCTCTGACATGCATCCTTACTCTTCACCCAACCCTCTAAAGAAGGCCGTGATTGTCTTCTTCTGTCACATTGATAAGTTGGCATGTAGTTGACAAGTTAGTCTCTTGTAAAGTTTAAAGCATAGGAATTCATTTCATCAGAGCTGTAATTTAAAAAAAATTCTTTTCTTTCTGCACAATAAGTTTAACACAGGAAACAATTATGAATGCATGCTAAGGTTTCATTACAAGGATGTTCACAGTTCATAAAAGTAAAAATCTGTAATCTAGCAATAGATTCGGTTAAATAAATCTATAGCTAATAAATAATTTGTTAAATAATTTGTAGCACATTTTTATGGTAGAATAATATGCATCATTATAATAACCATATCTTAAAATAAAACTATCATAATAATTTCCCTTTTTAGTATTAATAAACAACCTCAAACTGAGAGGAAAGTTGAATCATATATATATGAATACCAATATATCCTTCCCCTAGATTCACTTATTGTTAACATTTGCTACGTGCTTGCTTGCTCCCCTCTCATTGATATTTGAATGTATGTTCTGTTGTTGCTGGGTTTTGTTTTGTTTTCGCAGAATCATTTGAAAGTAAACTGCAGACACTGTGTTACTTCACCTCTAAGCACTGCAAACATCTCATTTCCTAAGAATGAACACCTTAGCCTACATGAACTGTATTACCATACCACACCCCAGACATCAATATTGATGTAATAATATAATCTAATATGAAGTCCATATTCAACTTCCTCCAGTTATCCCCAAAATGTTTATGTAGCTTTTTCCTTTTTAAAACAAGAAATCCAGCGTCCATTCAAGGATGATGTATTGCATTTGGTTGTCATGTCTATTTAGTCACGTTAATCTAGAGTAGTCCCCAGTCTTTTTTTTTTTTGAGTTCAGGCTCATTTTGCCAAAAGTCTCACAATCTGGGTATCTGATTGTTTCTTTATAACTATGTTTGGGCTAAACGTTTTTAGCAAAAAGACCACCTAGACAATGTTTGTTCTTTCTCTTGTATTACATGAAGACATTCATAATGTCAAGTTGTTCCATTATTCATGATGATATATTGGATCCCTCACATAAAGTGACTTTTTCCAGACCTCTCCAATGTAAAGCACTTTTAACTCGTTGAAATTCACAACTTAGCTGTAGGATGACACTTTGAAATGGTGTGAATATCTTTTCCCCAACAACTTTCCCCCAGTGCATCCATTGATGATCCTTTCCTGAATCAATTATTACAACGATGGTTGCAAAACAGCTTATAACATAATATTAAATGAAAAAAACTAGGGCACAAAGCTACAGACCATACAGTCTCAACCATTGGTGTTTGGAGCTGATTCTTACTGGCCCTCAAAAGCCAATTGCTAATTCTTGAGAAATTTTGAAAGTCAGTTGTTAAACTGTTGGTTGCCTGAAATTCACCATGGTGAGAGTATGTACAACACAGATCCCAGCAAGTGCTATAAACCAGGGACTTTTTAAAAAGAGCTGATTTAACAGCACACTACTGATATATATAAAATGTATATACACATATGTGCTACATTACTCCATTCTTACATTGCTATAAAGAAATACCTGAGACTGGGTAATTTATAAAGAAAAGGGGTTTAATTGGCTCACAGTTCCATAGGCTGTACAGAAAGCATGATGCTGGCATCTTGCTCAGCTTCTAGGGTGGGCTCAGGAAACTTACAATCGTGGCAGAAGGTGAAGGAGGAGCAGACACGTCTTACATGGCAGGAGCAGGAGCAAGAGAGAGAAGGGGAGGTGCTACACACTTTTTTTCCCTCCAGAGACAGAGTCTTGCTCTATTGCCCAGGCTGGAGTGCAGTGGTGTGATCTCGGCTCGCTGCAACCTCTGCCTCCTGGGTTCAAGCAATTCTCCTGACTCATCCTCCCGAGTAGCTGGGACTACAGGCACGTGCCACCACACACAGTTAATTTTTGTATTCTTAGCAGAGATGGAGTTTCACCATGTTGGCCAGGCTGGTCTCAAACTCTTGACCTCATGATCCACCTGCCTTGGCCTCCCAAAGTGCTGGGATTACAGGCATGAGCTACTCTACCCAGCCCGGTGCTACACACTTTTAAACAGCCAGATCTTACAATAACTCACTCACTATTAGGAGAACAGTACCAAGAGATGGTGCTAAACCATTCATGAAGGACCACCCCCATGATCCAACCACCTCCTACCAGGCCCCACCTCCAACACTGGGGATTACAATTCAGCATGAGATTTGGGCAGGGACACAGATCCAAACCATATCACATGCTTTAAACATAAAGGAACTCTAAGAAAATATAAGAAAGTGATGATCTGTGTGAGACTATGGATGATTTCTACTTTTCGGCTTTGTCCTTTCCTGTATTTTTCAAGATTCTCATAATGAACATGTATTAGTCAAGGTTCTCTAGAGAGACAGGGCTAATAGGATAGATGTATATATGAAAGGGGGTTTATTGAGTATTGACTCGCATTATTACAAGGTGAAGTCCCACAATAGGCCATCTGCAAGCTGAGGAGCAAGGAAGCCAGTCCGAGTCCCAAAACCTCAAAAGTAGGGAAGCTGACAGTGCAGCCTTCAGTCTGTGGCGGAAGGCCCAAGGGCTCCGGGCAAACCACTGGTATAGGTCAAAGAGTCCAAAAGCCGAAGAGCTTGGAGTCTAATGTTTGAGGGCAGAAAGCATCCAGCACAGGAGAAAGATGAAGGCTGGAAGACTCAGCCAGTCTAGTCTTTCCATGGTCCTCTGCCTGCTTTTATCCTAGCCTTGCTAGCAGCTGATTAAATGATGCCCAACCAGATTGAGGGTGGGTCTGCCTCTCCCAGTCCACTGACTCAAATGTTAATCTCCTTTGGCAACACCCTCACAGACACACCCAGAAACAATACTTTGCATCCTTCAATCCAACCACGTTGACACTCAATATTAACCATCACAGGGCATCTGTTACTTCTGTGTTTTTAACGCCTTTTTTAATGAGTGCCAATACCTACACCCACAACGAGCCCCCAGTTATAACCAGCATCACTCTCTCTATAGTGACACCTTAGACTCAGAAGTTCGGGGGACTTCAAGGTTACCCTTGAGGAAATGCTTGAACCTACTACCATGCTGTAATTTCATAGCCCCAAACTCTAAACAAGAAACTGAAATACAATTTGGAGGTCAGTCTAATGGAGAGAGAGGCAGTTGCAGCTTGAAGTTCTCTTTGAGAGTGCTGGCCTTGTGGGCCTGAGGGGACCAAGAAGAGGTATTCAAAAATAGCACATAGATCTTTAGAAACAAGGAGCCAGGGCCCACTTCCAAAGAGACTAACTAGAAACCTTCTGGATAGGATCCATCCCTCGTTTCGTGGTCACCAGTTAAGAGACACTGATATTGAAGCACGCAATTGGGCAGGAACACTCTGGAAGGCAGAGTTGTGCAGAGGCCCCCAAAGCGTGATCTTTGTTTGGTTACAGCCATCAATTGCTCTTCCAACAAAGGCAGAAACTGTGGATTTAGTGATTTGGGTGTCCCAGATATATGTCCTCAAGGCTGTTATAACAGGCTCCAGCTGTCCTGGTATATATTGATTGCTACAGTCTCAAATGCATGGCAGAGACAAACTATCGGAGGGAGGGTTCAAACCATTCTGCTTCTTATTTAGGTCCATTTAAATGCCAGACACTTTGGCATACATTATCACATTCTGATCCTCACTACACTTTGAAGTCAGCAGGTCAGGTTGCATTATGCATTTTCAAAAAGGAAATGATTTAATGCTTAGAGAAGTTGAGTGAGTTGCCCCAGGGTCCACGGTCACTGTGTTCTGCTGAGACTGGCATAGGCTCTGAGAGAGTGAGGAACATTACTAGGCCTTGGAGTTTCTTCACACCTAGTTTGTCAGAAGAAGGAAGCACCAAGAGATTCAGAAGAAATGGCATACCCAAGAAGAGGGCATGCCTTTGCTGATGTGTTCTGGAGAACCAGCGTGGCCAGTAGAAGGCAGAACCATAACTGGGAGTTAGTACCATGTGCCGATTTTATGGATGAAGGACCCTGAAGCTTAGACCATGTGATCTTTAGAAAGAGATCACCTGGTTCTAGATCCAGTTCTGCTGACCACCAGGGTAATGCTGGGCATGCTCCTCCCCTTCCCCCATGGGAGACTCAGATTCTCCAAAACAGAAAGAAGTGAGGAGATCACCTCCAAGGCATAGTCCAGCTCTAGGATACGGATGCTTTCTGTTCATCTTCATTCTATTCGGTATTCTACGGTTAATGCATTTGGCTAGCAAACCAATTTGATTTCTTATTATAAATACTTCATCTTCTTTCATATAAATGCTGGTAAATATGAAGTTATATGTCCCCAGAGGGACCTTGTTTTCCATGCCAAACCACAATGCCTGTTACGACCAAAAAAAGTGGCAGCTTTAATCTCCTGCTGACCGCCATTAGAGATTAATGCAGAGTGCAGAGCAGGCAATACTCCAGACAGTGTCAGGACATCGTCCCAAACCTTGACCAAGCTTTTAATCATGTTCCTGAGTAGATTTCCAAGGTTTTATCTGAGCCCAAAGACCTCACTAATATCCCAGCACTTTGGGAGGCCGAGGTGGGTGGATCACGAGGTCAGGAGATCGAGACCATCCTCGTGAACATGGTGAAACGCTGTCTCTACTAAAAACACACACACACACACACACACATAAAAAATTAGCCAGGCATGGTGGTGGGTGCCTGTAGTCCCAACTACTCGGGAGGCTAAGGCAGGAGAATGGCGTGAACCCAGGAGATGGAGCTTGCAGTGAGCCGAGATCGTGCCACTGCACTCTGGCCTGGGCAACAGAGCAAAACTCCATCTCAAAATAAATAAATAAATAAATAAATAAATAAAATAATGCTTAATGTGTATTGAGAATTTATTATGTGCCATGTGCTGCTCCCTGTGCTTTCCATATCTTTTTTGTTTAGCCCTCATAACAACTCTCTGAAGTTGTTACTATATCCATTTCACACATAAGGAAGGTGAAGCACAGAAAGGGCAGGTAACTTGTACAATGTCACACAGCGAGTAAGTGGTGGAGCCAGGATTCAAACCCACACTTTTTGCCTCCAGCCTGGTTTATCCAATGCATGCTGGAGCTATTTGTCCTCGATAAGATCAAGGAATTTTTGGGCATCTACTATGGGATGAACATATCACCACTGTGCTGAGATGATTATTTTGAAATGTTAACTTGGGTTTTGTTGTGTATCCTGTGGCCCTTTCTGCATTCCAGCAGATCTGGCATGTGGCATCTTTTGCCTCAGAGGAGGGGTAATGAGGCAGAATGACAGAAAAAAAAAATGAGACTTCTCCTGGCTTCTGAGTTGAAGCCCTAGAGGTAATGAGAAGACTTTAGCAAAGGTTTGCAAAGAATGTGCAGTGAAAGAACAGGCTTGGAGCCCAGAGGCCAGACAAGAGGCCCCTGATTATGGGTAAGAGACCCGGAGAGTGGAGATGCTGGTGTGTCCAGGGGAAGTGGAGCCTCTTTCTGTCCCCACCTCTGGTCAGGATGGAGGTAATGAAAAGGTTCATAAAATCTGAGATCTGAGAGTAATGAGGAGATGGCAACAAGCCCAGGTAGAGATGTCTGAGTGGGGTATCCAGGCAGAAGACAGGCCTAAGCACCTTCACTAAGCTCCCATGTCCCAGCAGAGCAGGGAGGCACCCGTGTGTGCAAGGGTGGCCCTGGAGGACAAGGAGAGTTATCCAACCTGAAGGACCCTCTCCTATGGAGACAAGAATGGTATAGGAGTAACCCACAGCCCCAGCCCCAACCCCTTGGCACAACTCTAGGAGAAAGAAGGAGGAACGATGGGTTGACTGAGATATTAATATTTCCCACCGTGCAATGGAAACAGGACTTGGAGCAGAGGTAAGTCACCATAAGATAAAGTAACATTTTTTTTGTACACTGGATTTTGTGAACTGAAATTTGTACTAATTATTTTGAACAACAGGATTTTGAAAGCATGAAATATGATCCTGTTTTTAAGTAACTCTCAACCCAAGCAGGAGATAACTGTGCTATAATGGACAGAACCCAGGATGCATAAGGTCACGACGTCTGGTCTCAAGTTCAGCTCCCCCACTTACCAGCTGAGAGACTTTGCCCAGGTCTCTCAAATGGTCTAAGCTTCAGGGTCCTTCATCTGTAGAATGCACATGGCACTAACTCACTGGTTGTAGGGTGTATTAAATGAAAGGCATATAAAGGAATTGTATGAGACTTTAGCATGCTATAAAACTGAAAGAAATTATTATTATTATTATTATTACTATCATTACCAAGACACATCAAACAATTGGGGAACTCAAGATAGAAATCACTTGGTACTGCATAGTGCATGCAAGAGGTCCAGAAAGGACTAGAATATATCACAGATATAAAGTGGGAATTCAAATGCCCTCCCTTCCAAATGATCATGATTGTCTTTCCTTGTGGTGAAAAAGTTGCAACAGGTTTTTTAAGTCCTAACCACGGGACTCAGCACACTTCTCACTTAGCTGGCCCTAGCTTGCTCCTCCATGTTCTCCACCCAAACCAATTCATTACTGCCCATGGGCCTCACCTAGTGTAGGTCCCTCAGCCAACCTCATGCCTCCCTGCATTCATCCACGTCCAGGTGCCCACCACCACCATGCCAAGACCTCCAGGGCCCATGTTCTGCAGGAGACAGAGCCCACTTGGGAGAATGTCTGTGACAAGAAGCACAGCACCAGCCCAAGCTCCCACACTCACCATCAGCCATGGAGGATTAGGGATGCCTCAGAGCACATATTTATTTGCAAACAGCTCTCACTGCCCAAGGTGGAAATCTCCTGAGTGTTGAGCATCAACCACCAGGAAAGAGCCTTTCTTCTGTGTTTTCTCCTAAGACCCTTCACCAAGGTTGCTGGGGTGAAGGGCCTTAGGAGACAGATCACACTGTCACCCAGAAGCTACTGCTGAATGCAGAGCTGACAGGCCAGCCTGGTCCTTTCGCTGAAAAAGGTACTGGGTCTATCAACAACTATTTATTGAGGACCTATTATGGGCCAAATAGTGATCTAGGCACTAGGCATACAGTGGTGGACAAAACAGACAAGTATTTCTGCCCTCATGGAGCTTACATTCTACTGTGTATAGCAGGAGAAGGAAGAGGAAGACCAATAGTTCACAAAACGAGTAAGTAAAATATGTAGCATGTCAAGTGTCAGTAGTGCAATGGAGGAAAATAGAGGAAAGGAGAGGAAATGCCAGCTTGTGGAAAGGGCTGCAGTTTTACATGAGGAGGTCAGAGAAGGCCCCACTGAGAAGGTAACAGATGAGCAAGGACTTCTGGAGAGTGAAAGAGTGAGGCATGCATGTATTCAGTGGAAGGGGGATCCAAGAAGCAGATCTAGCAGGTGCAGAGGTTCTGAAGTGAGAGCATGGCTAGGAAGAAACAGATTTGTATTCGCAGAATCTGGTCCCAGACAGACCTGCTCTTAAACCAGACCGAAGACAAGAAGTTGTTTTCATTTTTTTAAATTTTTCTTTAGTGACTTGCCTTTACTGTGTTTTCCCCAAAGCAATCAATTTAATTTTCAGAAACAACTGTATTTACTTTCTTATTTGTATTTCATTGTATCATATAATGTTTGTTTAAATTATTTCATTACAATAAGTATGACTGGCATAAATAAATTTGGGAAATGACCACAATTGACTCTTGTTCAACAACAAGAACAACAAGAAAACTCAATAGATGACAGCAGAAGTAGACAGGCGTTCTAGACAGTAGCTGAGAGCATTTCAGATTGCTAGGACCTCCGTCAATATGTTTTGCAGAGGGAATAAGAAGGTCTATAAATGTAGCCAGTCATTTAAACAGAATAAGAATAAGATGGCTTTCCCAATGGCTTACGATTGACCCCAATAGCATGCCTTCAGTTGTGATCCTCAGATACATGGGACTTCTGTGTTTCTCCTTCCTCACTATTACCACAACTGGAGGAGCTCTTTGGATTATTTAGTGCACCACTATGTAATGAATTTAATTAAGGCATATCTGTGACATATAGGAGCATTGCTTTGATGCTTGTAACTCTAGGTGACACATTTTTTTTTTTTTTTTGAGATGGAGTCGCGCTCTGTCGCCCAGGCTGCAGTGCAGTGGCACCATCTCGGCTCACTGCAAGCTCCGCCTCCCGGGTTCAAGCCATTCTCCTGTCTCGGCCTCCCGAGTAGCTGGGACTACAGGCGTCCGCTACCATGCCCGGCTAATTTTTTTTTTGTATTTTTAGTAGAGACAGGGTTTCACTGTGTTAGCCAGGATGGTCTTGATCTCCTGACCTCATGATCCACCCACCTCGGCCTCCCAAAGTGCTGGGATTACAGGTGTGAGCCACCGCGCCCAGCCAGTGACACAAATTTTTAAGAACTGGTGGCTCAGTGGCATTTGAGCTTCTGTTTCTCCCTGTTAAATAAGCCAAGTTCTTTAGCTTTTCTTCCTGAACTTAATTTTCTATTCTTTCCTCATGTTCTAAAGGCAAATTATGATTTAAGTTATAAAGCCCAGGAGTAACAACAAGTTGTTTTAAATGAAAGCAGCTCCTGTTTTCAGACTGATCGATTATTCCCTTTCCTGGGTTGTCTGGCTTTGTATACAGTGGGAATGTCCTTGCTGTCCAGATCCCACCTCAGTGCATTCTTGTCATAGTCTCTCCTGATATCTGCCTTACAGAGGTTAGTGGTGGCAGCTGTTCTCTGAAGCTCCCGACTTTGGCCTCAGGTTTACCCCCAAGGACACTGCCTTGGGCAGTGGACACACTGGAACCTAGTCCCCATCCCAGGTACCAGCAAGGACCCACAAAGGAGAGGGTTCCTGTTCCCAGAGCCATCTGGCTTCCCTATCCCATGTACTCTCCATTTAACGTCAGCCTTTGCAGCCTCAGCCAAAGCCAGCCAGGGTGACTTTAGAAGGGAAGCCAGGTCTGTGGAAGCAAGGCTTGCTTGCCTCCAACTTCCCCTCACCTCATCCTCATTCTCAGCCCTTCAGGACCCTGCTGTCATGCCACCCCCTCCAGGAGTTGGTGGAACTTCTCACATCTTTGGATTTACATAGCAATTGTTCTCTCTCCTAAAAGCAGAAGCCACAGCCTATCAGATTCCAGATGGTTGAATCTGTTTCTCCACTAAACTGAAGGCTTCTTAAGGCAGGCATTGGACCTAACCTTGCCTCCCCACCGCACCCAGAATGGGCCCTTGCACTGGAGTACAGCTCAATAAAGCCTTGTTAGATTGAACTGAAGATGTTTCTTATAAGAGGCTGCTTAAGTCCCTTCTTCCTGAGCTCCTCAGGCCCAATATCCAACCTCTTCCAGTAGGGCGAGGCTGCAGGGTGGCCTGGGGTACAGTAACCCCACTTCCCCTTGGGTAAGCTACAGAAGACTTGCAGCTCAGCGGCCCAGGGCACTGAGAGTCAGAGAGTGAGACCACAATGTTAAAAATGGGATAGGCTATAATAATAATATTAAACATTTATGTTTTTTCTCAAAACACAAGACCTAGGTCATCTTTGACATCAAAGGCAATCTGAGCTCTTCTCTGGTGTTCACTGAACACCAGAGAACCTTAGCTTAGCTCAAGAGGGACAACACGGATTTTTGTTTGTTTGTTTTTTGAGACGGAATCTCATTCTGTTGCCCAGGCTGGAGTGCAATGGTGCAATCTCGGCTCACTGAAACCTCTCTGCCCACTGGGTTCAAGCGATTCTCCCACCTCAGCTTCCGAAGTAGTAGGCACTCACCTCCACACCCTGCTAATTTTTGTATTTTTAGCAGAGACGGGAGTTTTGCCATGCTGGCCAGGCTGGTCTCAAACTCCTGACTCAGGTGATACACACGCCTCGGCCTCCCAAAATACTGGGATTACAGCATGAGCCACCGTACCCGGCCAGGAGGAACAACATGTTTTACAACTGTTTACAGAAAAAAAGGGAATTGCAAAGGAGCCAGAGAAAGATACATTGTTGGAGGTGAGATGGACTGAGGTGCCTAGCAGAAGGTCAGCCTCTCTGTCTCTGGTCAGCTCCAGGTCAAGGCAACAAGGTTATGGGGGCAGCTTGTTCTTGAACAATATGAGGCATCTGCAGTAGAAGTACTTTTGTAACCAATGCTATTCAAATGCTAGCCTGTTAACAGGTAGTGCTGGAATTGGGCAAAGGGGTGCAGCACAGAAGGGTATTTGCCTTAGACTTTGCATTCACAAAGTGCTTCAAACTCACACTCTTGAAATTCTCCCCAGTGAGCCCTTCCTACAGTCACAGATTCCTACTGCCAGGATGGATAGAAGAGAACAACCTTTACTCAGCTTCAATATCCCAGCACAGAACAACTGTGCACTATGAAATAATATGGTTTTATAAATCCCATCATTCTCTTGCAAATAGCACCATTCTACAATGTTCTTTTTTTTTCCTTGAGACACAGTTTCACTCTGTCACCCAAGCTGGAGTGCAGTGGCATGATCTCAGTTCACTGCAACCTCCAACCCCCGGGTTCAAGCTATTCTCCTGCCTCAGCCTCCCGAGTAGCTGGGACTACAGGCACGTGCCACAGCGCCCAGCTAACTTTTTTTTTTTTTGTATTATTAGTAGAGACAGGGTTTCGCCATGTTGGCCAGGCTGGTCTCAAATACCTGACCTCAAGTGATCCACGCATCTTAGCCTTCCAAAGTGCTGGGATTACAGGCTTGAGCCACGGCGCCCGGCCCTATGTTGTATTTTTATAAAACCATTAATGTATATCAGTGTTTTAAATCCACCACAATTCCAAGAAGCAAAGCCACTCCAATAGTAGTATTATTACTCCTGCCCATATCTTAGTCTCTAATATCTTATGTCCCTTTAGTCTATATGTCCTTTTAGTGGAGTCTAATGTCTCCACTAAAAGGAACCAAGTCTCCTCAAAAAAATTATTAGTTTTAGGAAGAGTTGGTACAAAATAAGCCTGGAACATTTTGTTATGCTAGAAAGTAAGTGCTGAAAGAAATGATGGGAACATCATAAGGATGTGGGCCCCAGCTTGAAGGGATGCTTACTGATGAAAACTAGGGCAATATAAGCACCAAAATAATTAAGTGCAGCAATGAGTTATAAACAATTGAAAAAATAAGAACTCATGAGTCCATAGTAATAATAAATAGATGAATAAATAAACAGGAGACAGGAAGAGTTGGTTATGTACAATACTGAGGGAAACTGGAATGGTAAAATCATCATTTTCATCATCATTGGAATTGCAAAATCATCATTTTGCAACTATCACAGTAAAGATCGGATCAGACAAGGAGCATCAGTGGATGCTAAATCCAGGAGGAAATTTTGATGAAGACAAGATATTTACATAATATTAAGGTATGTCCTCATAGATTGTTTATTATTGCAAGGGAGAAAATAATGACTATACAATGAAAAAAGTTGAACAACACCTAGACCAAGTGATCAAAATTCCTATCAATGAGAGACAGATGAGCATCCAGTGCCTCCAGATGTGAGACCCTGAGAATCACACGGTGTCACCTTCGCAGTATTCCAGCAAGAATATAACCTCAATGTGATCACAAGGAAACACCCAACAAGCACAAATGAAGACCCTTCTGTTAGGAAAGAGGAGAGGGCTGTATTCCTTCAAAAATGTCAATGCCATACGACACCAAGAAAGCTGTGGAATGTTCCAGATTAAAGAAAGCTAAAAGGACATGACATTTAAACCTTGACCCTAGGCTGAATCCTACATAGTAGAGGGGAAAAGCTATAAAAAAAATAATAATTGGGTCTATTGACAAAACTGGAATACAAATGGTAGATTTGAGAAAAAGCACTGTATCAATGTTAAATTTAGTGAAGTTGATAACTGTACTATGATTATGTATAAGAACCTCCTTATTTTTAGGAAATACACACTGAAATACTTAAGGGTAAAGGACCATGAGGTATGTAACTTACCCTCAAATAGCTCAGAAATGAAATTAGACAACAGATAGAGATACATTAGATAGATAGATAGATAGATAGATAGATAGATAGATAGATAGATAGATGATAGTAGATAGATGAAGATAGAAAGACAGATGAACAGAGAGGGCGAGTGAATGGTAAGGCATGTTGGTAAAACGTTGACAGTAGGTGAGTTTGGGTAAAGGGTTACAGGTGTGTTTGTACTAGTTTTGTTTTTGCATGTTGTCTATAAATTTGAAATTATTTCCAAATTTAAAAGTTTTTTAATGTTTGTCACTATTTCTATAAGCATGTTTTGGAATTTATTCATTTTTAACCTGGGAGAATTCTCCAAACTTGGCAGAGGCTCAGACCTGTCTTGATCTTCCAGTCCCCAGCGGCTCTCACCTCTCACCAAGAGACTCTTACCTTACACCGTCTCCTCTCTCTCCATAGAAGGGAGGGGCAGAGATGCCCTAGAGGAGGTTGGTTCATGCTCTCACATGGCACCAGCTAGATGACCAGAGACTCAACTGGTTCCATTCAGATTTCGTAATTGGGCTACACCCACAATTTTGTTAAGGCTCTTAAACTGAGAGCGTTCACTTAGAATTCTCACACATCACCAGGCACCTCCTCACAACCAGGTCCCGTTCTGCTCTCCCTGTCCACAGTCCCTGGGCAAGATCACCCTGTCCACGTCTTTCACTGACCATTTACAGGATGCTGACTCACATGGTTATTTCTCGAGCCTAAGCCTCTTCTGTGAATTCCAACCCTGATATCCAACTACCTCCTTGACAATTACATCTCAGAGGTAGCTCAAAGTCACGATTCCCTGAACCAAACTCTTCATCTTCTCATCCTAAACTGGAAACTTCTCCAGGATTCTCTCTGACAGAGAAAGCATCACATAGCCACCAAAGCCAAGCCCTGCTCCCTAAATATCTGTCTGAGCCATCCACTTCTTCCCATCTCTATATCCACTCTGAAGTAAGCTCCCAGTTGTCCACATCACCCTCACATCCATTCTCTAGCAACAGCCAGAGGGGGCTTTCCAAAATGAAACTTGTCCTCAAGTCTCCTCTGTCTCAAAAACCTCCTTCTGCTTATTCAGGATAAAATCCAAAAGCTTCACGATCTACGAGACTTCGGACAGCCTACCTCAAGAGCCTCATCTCACATCTTCATCACCATTCTCCATACCCTAACCACAAACAGGGCTCCAATGCCTTCGGTTTGTCCTATCCCTCACCACATCAGCGTCTTTCCACACGAGGTTCCTCACATCCGGAACATTCTCCTCCCTACCTCACCCCATTGCCTAGGTAACCTCCATTCACCCTTCAACTCTAAGCTGACTTCTCTTCCTGTGTGTGCCGTGCTCTTTCTTCAATAACTGGCATAAATTGCCCTGGTCACTACTACTGTGTCTAGTTTGGATGATTCAAAAGACAGTTCCGTGAGAAAGAACATGGATTCAGAAGTGGGGAAAACTGGACAAGGAATATAGGGCGGCATGAGCCATTTTTATCCACAATACTTTTTTTTTTTTTTTTTTTGAGATGGAGTCTTGCTCTGTTGCCCAGGCTGGAGTTCAGTGGCGTGATCTCGGCTCACTGCAACCTCCGTTTCCCGCCTCAACCTCCTGCGTAGCTGGGATTACAGGCATCCACCACCATGCCCGGCTAATTGCTATACTTGTAGTAGAGACGGGGTTTTGCCATGTTGACCAGGCTGGTCTCAAACTCCTGATCTCAGGTGATCTGCCCACCTTGGCCTCCCAAAGTGCTGGGATTACAGGTGTGAGCTACTGCACCCGGCCCACAATACTTCTGATACCAAATGTGTGGGTTCTTTCCTCAGAACAGCCAATACTCCAACTCTCTGGACACCAACTGGGTGTCCTGCAATTCAATTCAATTCTGACACCCAGAGTTAGCACAGAGTTAGAGGTGACTCTATTACCCAGAATTAATGCACACCCCACATGTTAAGGGCACAGTACCACAAGACTGCCCCCAAATTCAGACACCAATCCCAAGTCCCAGGCCACCTGTATTTCTGACTGACAAACTAAAGTTCCTATGATCCCCTCCTTAGGTTCAAAGATTTGCAGGAATGGTTCTCAGAACTCAGAAAAGCACCTAACTTACTAGTATAAGTTTATTATAAAGGATATTATAAAGGTTACAAACGAACAGCCAGGATAAGAGGTGCATAGGGAGAGGTCTGGGAGGGTCCTGAACACAGAAGCTTCTGTCCCTAGGGAGTTGGGGTGAGGTCCACCATTCTCCCAGCTTGTAAATGCATTCACCAACTAGAAAGCTCTCCAAATCTCATTGTTTATGGGTTTTCATGGTTGTTTCACTACATAAGCATGATTGATTAAATCACTGGCCATTGGTGATTGGATTCAATCTTCAGCTCCTCTCCCCTCCCTAGATGAGAGGCTAGGGGTGATAGGGCTGAAAGTTCCAACCAGAGAACCATGCCTTGGGCTTTCTGGCAACCAGCCCCGATCCTGAAGCTATCTTGGAGCCCCTCAGCCAAAAGTCATCTCATTAGTATACCAAAGGTACTCTTGTGACTTGGGGAATTACAAGGGTTTTAGGAGTTCTGTGCCAGGACAAAGATGAAATATGTATTCATTATTACAGATGGTCAAGGAGAAATGGCCTCCCCAAACCAGGCATGAGAAGGACTTTTCAGCAGGGGTTGGTGAATCCTTCCCTGCCCAAATCTTCCCAACCAAACCTCTCTTGGAAGAAATGAACAGCCAACTCCAAAGGATTTTAGAACCAGGGCAACAAGTACACTGTGGGTCTTACTGGCCTGGGTGAAATCATACCTCCTGGTGGGCTTCCTATAGCCACATGGGTGCTGCATGGCAGGGGAGGGGCTGCATGGCAGGGGAGGGGCTGCATGGGGGCCTGGAACTGGCTATTTGAACCTGAGTGTGCAAGATGGATTAAGGGTCAAGACCTAGGGGACAGAGTCCTGGTGGAATTTCAGATTTCAAAAGGTTCTTAGCGGTCCTTAGAGCTTTAGCCCATCATTTCTCAGAGTGTGGCAGACTGTATTTTCCAAGGATGGCCGTGACAATCTCTTCCATCCTGCATACTTTTCTTAAAGTGGCTTTGACACTTCCAGCCAACTCATAAAAGGCAATAGAGCTTCTGCCTGGGTCTCTTGGAACACTCACCTTGGAGCCCCGACCCATGTAAAATGTCTGACCACCCCTGGGGCTGCTGAGCCTGAGGGCCACTGGACAGGCCACGTGTAGGTGTTTCAGCTCACAGCCTTGGCTGAGGTCCCACCCACAGCCAGAACGCGAATAAAGACAGCCCCAGCCATCAAGTCACCCCCAGTCTTCAAGATGAGGCCCCAAACATCAAGGAGTAGAGAAAAGTCATCCCCTTCATATCCTGTCTGAATTTCTGATCCACAGGATTTATGGACATAATAAAATGGTTGCTTTATGCCACTAAATTTTGGGATGGTTTATTATGCAGCAATACTAACTGGAACACACAAGACGTTAATAGATATTATGTAAAAATAGAGGGGTGGAGAGCTCTGTAATTAAATGTTTTGGAAGGTGCTTGGCAACACAAATTCCAACTAAAACAGGGTTCTATTTTACCATGGACGCCTCACAGCCTTTAGTGTACAATATGCACCGTGAATCTCCGAGAGGGAGATATGGTATTTGGTGTTCCTTAACAGATTTTTTTTTCATGGGCTATCATTCTGCAAAAAAAAAAAAGCTGATGGTCCAGCCCTAGTCTCATGAAGAAGATATTTGAGGCCGGAAAAGTCCCGAGACCTGCCGGACACATCTGGAGGCAAAGCTAGAACTCACGTTGCCTGACCCCTGGGGTAGGGCTGTTCCCAAGGGCCCCCTCCTGGGGGGCTGTGCAGATTCACAGGACGTGCCCAGGCTTTCTCCTGGGGTATCTCTTTTCCCATCCTTCAGCCTCTCCTGTGGCCTGGGCCCTGGTCCCTGCCTCCCTCTTCACCCTTTACCTGCTCCCTCACTTTTTCTTCCTATGGAGACCCCTCTTTTTCCTCCACAGGCCTTAGGAGAGATGGGGGAAGGGGTAGGGGTTAGAAGAGCCCTCCCCACTCTCCCCACCCACCAACACAGCACAGGCGCGTGCCCACACTCACACTCACACACACATCGCACGCGCTGCCCGCCCCCACGTCCAGCCTGGCTCCGCGCAGCCGGGCCTGTCCCGAGCCTCCTGTAAGCTGCTTCTGCGCCCTGAACGCTGCCTGTTGTCCCCTCCAGAGCGCCTCGCGGCTCCTCCTCCTCCTCCCCGCCCGGCTGGAAGAGGAACACAGCCCTCCCTTGTCCCTCCTCTTGATATTTCCAGTAAAAGCACCTCGAACACAATCTCGCTGCCACAACCCTAATTATGTGTGAAATCATTTTTTTTTAGCTTGAAACCAAAGCAAACAAGCGCGCACAGAGAAGCCCATTCTCCGCGGCCGGCGCGGCAGCCTGGCCGCTGTGGGTAGCTCAGGGACGCACAGAGGCCCGGCTGTTTCGCAAGCTGCCCGCCTGGCCAAGGTGCCTCCCAGGCCTGCCCGGGGAGGTCGCCCACCCCCTCGGAGGAAAGAGTGGGTTTCAGTTTGTCCTGCACTTTCCACGCAGGTTGACGGGAGCCTCACACAGGCCTGGCACACTCTGAGGCCACAGGAAAACGTGTTTAGAAAGAAGTGGAGGTTCTCAGGAGTAGCGTGGGCACTGGGCTTTCCCGGAAGATCGTTTTCACCTCTGCGCTACTTTTTTAGTTTATCATTGTATTGTATTGAACTGTGCTGTATCATATTGCATTGCATTGCATTGTATTTGAGAGCTTCAAGTATCCAAGAGTAGGGAAGATTTTACACACTATCATTCACACAGCCATTTTCTCCTGTTTCCACTTCCCCTGTCTTCACTTCACTTCACTCTCATTCCCTCTCCACTGACAACCTCGTTCTAATATATTTAATAAGCATTCTTTTTTCCCTATGCAACTTCAAAAAGACAGTGCTTTGGTGAGTATATGTGATTTTAATTTATGTAAGTGGTATTGCTAGAGATTCATCCTATTTCCAACTTTTTACTTTGGGCCCTGTGTTTGGAGGACGGGTAAGAATTGATCATATTATCTATAAATAATGGCAATTTTGCCTATTCCTTTCTAATTGGTCTGCCTTTATTTATTTTTCTTATCTTATTGCATTGACCACACCCTAAATTCTATGTTGAATACTAAGCATCTTTGCATTATTCCTTATATTAAAAGGAATGCCTCTAAAGTTTCTCTTTAAGTATGAGATTTTTGCTGGATAAGCTTTATCAAGGGTGTTCCCATCTATTCTTAATCTTCTAAGAATTTTTAAAATGATAAATAGGTGTGCACTTTATCAAAAGCCATTTCTATATACAATAGAATTGTCTCTGTCATCTTTGGTATGCTTTTTCTCCTTTATTCCATTAATATGGTGAATTAGATTGACTTTTTTTCTGATGTTGAACCATCCTGGCTTTCTTAGAATAAACCCTACTTGATCATGATGTTTTTTTAATACAGATTTGATAAATTTAATTGATCTCTCATTTGCGATTTTCACATCTATGTTTATAAGTGAAACTAATCGAAAATTTTCTTTTCTTGTGAGTTCTTTTATCAGTTTTGGACTCAAGATTATACCAGCCTTATGAGGTCATTTTATTTACTTCATTCCTATATTCTGGAAAATTTGTATAAAAGAGGGATTGTCTATCCCTTAAAAGTTTGCTGTAATCATCTGGTCCTAGAGCTTTTACATGGAAGGAAGCCTTTGAATACAATTTTGATTTTTTAAAAATGCTTACTGACCTATACAAGTGTTCTATTGCTTTTTCTGCCAATTTGGTCAAGCAGACTTCCATTTATGTCTCATGGGCCAGTACTGGGTCCCATGGCCACCCCAACTGTGATACATACTAAGGAAGTAACAATTTAAGGTTTTAACCTCTATAGAGAAAAGCCATAAGGAAGAAAGGACTGGGAATAGTACCAGCATCTGCCACAGTCCTTAGAAGACAACATATTGTTTGATCTTATTTTGGTTTTGCTCCACCTGCAGTCTAATCCAATCAGGGAACTTAACTCATTTATGTTTATTTTAATTACTAATATATTCACATTTATTTCATCCTTGTGTTTACTGTATTTATTATATCAATTTCTCTCTCTTTTCTAATCTCCATTGCATGAATCAGATTTTCTTCTGCTGAATTGAAAGTTGTATATTCTGTTTTTATTCTTCTACTTGTTTCCCCTTTTTAAGAACCATACTTATGTTTATGTTTCATTATCAATTTCTTTTCCTGTAGGACTCACTTACTTCTTTCTGGTATGTATATCTCCTCAACATTATCCCCACCCTGCCATATTGGTATCACCCAGAATTGGTTTTTGACTGTTACAAGCAATTTTTCACCTTTATTTAAAACTTATTTTTTAGAGCATGACAAATCTAAGTAGTTTACAAGACCTTATTTTCCATGTCTCATTGCTTCCTCCACTTGAAAAGTCTGATGTCAATGTGATTATTATATTTGTATACGATCTACTTTTTTTTTCTATAAACTTTCGGAATCTTCTTCTCCTGTGTTTGGTGTTCTGAGATTTCTCTGCAATGCATCTAGCTTGAGTATTTGTTTTGAGTCACTCTGCCCCATTTGGTCCTCTATGAACTTTTAAAATCCAAGTTCTTCCCTCTTTCTTTAATTCTATGAAAATTTTAGTCACAATTTTCTCTTTTCCATATACTTCTTTTTCTGTTCTGGAATCCTTATTTAATGAGCTCTACTAACT
This sequence comes from Homo sapiens, assembly GCF_000001405.40. Lineage (NCBI taxonomy): Eukaryota > Metazoa > Chordata > Mammalia > Primates > Hominidae > Homo > Homo sapiens. Next base: position 88,772,196 of record NC_000015.10, read on the forward strand.
GCTGAACACTTTTCCAGGTAACGGGGTTATAGCACTCAGCAAAACAAAGCCCTCATGGAACTTGCATTATGATGGGGGCGGGGGGGAGATAGGCAATAAACAAATAACTATATAATATGTCAAAGATAAAAATGCCATGGAGGGGGGCTGGGCGCGGTGGCTCACGCCTGTAATCCCAGCACTTTGGGAGGCCGAGGCGGGCGGATCACAAGGTCAGGAGATCAAGACCACGGTGAAACCCCATCTCTACGAAAAATACAAAAAAAATTAGCTGGGCGCAGTGGCAGGTGCCTGTAGTCCCAGCTACTCGGGAGGCTGAGGCCGGAGAATGGCGTGAACCCGGGAGGTGGAGCTTGCAGTGAGCTGAGACCATGCCACTGCACTCCAGCCTGGGCGACAGAGCGAGAATCCGTCTCAAAAAAAAAAAAAAAAAATGCCATGGAGGAAAATAAAGCAGGGCAACAGGGATAAGGAGTCCCAGGTGGGGCTGAGGGTTGGTGGGAAGACATCTGAGCAAAAGCCTAAATGAACTAAGGGAAAAAACCATGCACATATGTAGGGGCAGAGAACTGCAGACAGAGAGAAATGCAAGGGCAAAGGCCTTGAGACCGAACAGAAGGAGACCAGGGAATGAGTAAGGAAGGGGGAGAACAGCAGAGAGAGGTCGCTGGGAGCCAGGTCAGGTGGGTCCTTGTGGTCATGACAAGACCTTGGGCCTTTTTTTTTTTGAGATGGAGTCTCACTCTGTCACCCAGGCTGGAGTGCAGTGGCGCGATCTCGGCTCACTGCAACCTTTGCCTCCTAGATTCAAGCTATTCTCCTGCCTCAGCCTCTCGAGTAACTGGGACTACAGGCACACTGCCACACCCAGCTAATTTTTTTTTTTTTTTTTTTTGGATTTTAGTAGAAACAGGGTTTCACCGTGTTGCCCAGGCTGTTCTCGAACTCCTGAGCTCAGGCAATCTGCCCGCCTCGGCCTCCCAAAGTGCTAGGATTACAGGCGTGAGCCATCGCGGCTGGCCAAGAACTTGGGCCTTTATCCTGAGAGAGGGAAAGCTTTGAAACGGAAGAGTGACATGACTAGGTTTCTTTTTAAAAGACTCATCCTGGCTACCCTATGGATAATATAGGGAGCAAGAGGAGCAGAAAAATTACTTAGGAAAATCTTGCAATAAACCAAGTGATAAATGATAGTAGCTTGGACTGGGTAGGGGTTGTGGGGGTGGTGGAAGGTAGTCAGATGCTGGATATATGTTCACAGTAGAGCTAATGGTGTTTGCTAGCACACTGGCTGTGGGATGGGAAAGGAAGACAGGAATCAAGGGTAATGCAAGATCATGAGGTGGCTGAAACAGTTCTAGGCATCACATCCAGTTCCAACAATGTCCTGTAGAAGAAGAGATTATCTCTTGTATTTCTCTCTTAAGGGCTAGGAAACCTTCCAGAAACTACCCAGCAGAATTCTCCTTGTGTTTCATTGTCAGAACTGTGTCACATGATTATACCTAAACCAATCACTGGCAAGGAGACTAATGATCTTAGACCACTGGTTCTCAAAGTGTGATCCAGGGACCCCTTCCAGTGGGGCTATAAATCAAAACTCTTTCTATAATAATATCAAGACACCTTACAAGATCCTTTTGGGCTTGCCAAAAAATAAAAATATCAGGACATCATTTGCCTTTTTTGTGCTCTTTCTCTCATGAGTGGACAATGGAGTTTCCAGAAGGTACAGGAGGTGCTGATGTCACTGCATGGACAGCTCATAGCATGTGCACTTTTATCTGCCTATGTTTTCTCAGGAAACTAAGCTCAGGGTATAAATACATGCATTTCCAGAGATTCACTCCATTTATTCTCAGGATTTCTACTGTGTTCTGATTAGCTGTCTTTAATTACCCTTGCTAAAATCAAAAATCTCATTGTTATCTAATAAATCATTATTTGAAACCCCCAGTTTTCCTTGCACCAATGTAGAAACACGGGAAGCACAATCTGTTGTCTTATTTTGAAATACTATTTGTTAAATATTCTGAAGCTTTTCTGAATTCTTAAGTTTAATCTATACCTATTATTTTTGGACTAATAATATTTTATTCTGAAATAAAATAAATTGTACTTATTTTTTTTTACATTTAAGGATGGATCATTAGCTTTCAAAAGAGTTCTTAGAAGACTTGCTTTCTCTATCACCAAACCACCTAAATCCAAAGATTCTGAAAAAGATGAAAGTGATATGTCACAGAATTTGCCGACTAGTGGTGAGGAGGGATCTACTCCAAAGAAACTGGAAGAAACTGTAAAGAAGCAGCAAAACTATGATAAAAGCAATCTCTCTCTCAACCTGATAGATATTGACTATTTACCTCATTCTGCCTGATGCGACAGAGTATTTCTCAAGAGCCTCACGGTGCTCAGGGCCAGGCCTAGAGTGAGGCAAGTAAGGTGCGTAGGGTGCAGAACTTAAGGAGGCGTCAGTCTCGGCTTTGCCCAAGTGCAGGGTCAGTAGGGCGAGTGTCTCCTTAGACCCTGTGCACTAAGCACCTTGCTACTGCACCCTAGGCCCAGACCCGATGGGGCCATTTAAGTTGGGGTATTATTTTAAGACCAGAGTTTAAACAAAAAGGAATTAAATCTGGCCAGGTACAGTGGCTCACACCTGTAACCCCAGCACTTTGGGAGGCCAAGGCGGGCAGATTGCTTCAGCCTACAAGTTCGAGACCAACCTGGGCAACATAGCGAAACTACCTCTCAGCAACAACAATAAAATGCAAAAATTAGCTAGGCATGGTGGCATGCACCTGTAGTCCTAGCTACTGGAGAGGTTGAGGTGAGAAGATCACTTGAATCTGGCTGGTTGAGGTTGCAGTGAGCCGTAATTGTGCCACTGAACTCCAGCCTGGGTGACAGAATGAGAACATGTCTCAGTAAATAAATAAATAAATAAATAAATAAATAAATATCCATTATTATAAAAAAGGAATTAAATGTTTTAAACTTAGATGTTATGAGCCCTTAAAAAGCCAAAAGTTTTTTACATCTTTTCAAGCTAGAAATGAAAAAGTCACAGAAGCATAAGCAATCAAATTACATTAACTAATAAAATCTCTCATACAGATGACACTGCTGAATGCCTGCTGAGTACAAACTCAGTAAAATAAATAACAGCACTACCACTTCCCAATGCTAACGCAACTTGCCAAATCAAAGATTTATCTGTGAACATGAAGACTGAGTTAATCTCTCATTGGCAGAATTGTACTTTTGCCTTAACAACTGGATGAGTGTACAGATGTGGCTGGACTGACTGTTTTGCTTGTATTTGTCCCATATCAGCACTAATTAATCATTGAAGACCTTCTTTTATGTAACACTTGGCAACAAACACAAGTGGTGCTGAAATAGGCAAAGTATTGAGGAACGTTTTTGAATCTTATGGTTTATCCTAGATCAACTGTGTTGATATGCGCACAAAGGCTGTAAAAGCAATGGTGGATGACACTGCTGAGGCCTTAGCATCAAGGCAGTGGTAGCTGTCCTCATAGTCATTGGATAGTTCGCTGCCATGCACTCACAGTAAACAGACAAATAAATAAATAAATATAAAAAGCCAGTTCCATTTTAGAATGCCCTTGATGAAGCAGTAAGAATTATTCATTTAACTAGATCTCAACACTTAAAAACATATGTCTTCTTTCAACATTACTTTGGAATGTCTTGTGCGATGAAAAGAAAAATGCATGAAAGCATAAAACACATCCGCTGTATCAAAGTACAAGAGTTATCGAGAGCAAAGGCATTGGAACAATTAAGTTACCAACTAAACTAGCCACTTTTTTCAGAAAACATCATTTTTACATGAAAGAACAATTGACCAACTGTAGTTATTTAAACCTGAGTATTTGGCAGACGTTTTCTTGAAAATGAACAAAGTGACCCTGTTGTTTCAAGGAACAACTGACAGGCTGGGTGCAGTGGCTCATACCTGTAATCCCAGCACTTTGGGAGGCTGAGGTGGGAGGATCATGAGGTCAAGAGATCAAGACCATCCTGGCCAACATGATGAAACCTTGTCTCTACTAAAAATACAAAAATTAGCTAGGCGTGGTGGCGCAGGCCTGTAGTCCCAGCTACTTGGGAGGCTGAGGCAGGAGAATCACTTGAAGCCAGGCATGGTGGCATGCACCTGTAATCCCAGCTACTTGGGAGGCTGAGGCAGAAGAATCAGTTGAACCTGGGAGGTGGAGGTTGCAGTAAGCCGTGACCGTGCCATTGCACTCCAGCCTGGGTGACAAGAGCAAAACTATATCTCAAAAAAAAAAAAAAAATAGTCAGAGACCAAAAAGGTTTGAGAACCACTGGCTTAAAATCCAATCAGGATTCACCCTCTAGGGCCAGAGGTGGGTCCGGCCCCCACCATACATGGGAAGCACATGGCTGCCTTAATGTGAGGGATGCCTGAAAACTCTCAGGCTCCCTGAGGAAGGAGGAATGAATGTGGGTAGGTACTAAGAGGTCTGCTACAGTGGTTGCAGAGTGAATCCTGACCTGGACCAAGGACTTCTGGGACAACACTGGCCAACAGCTGCAGTGTTAATTAAGGCCCATACATGCTGTGGCAGATGGTGAGAGTGACGGACAGGGGACCTTTCTCTTGAAGAACAAGGAAGCTTTGTGAGGCATGAGGCATCTGCTCTGCAGTGCTTAACAGCCTCTTCTGCAAATGGGCAACCCACGGTTGTTGAGGCTTTTCTCTATGAAGTACAACTATTTTGACTCCCATCCCATTTTTTTTCACCATATTTGCAAATTGAAAAGCCACGGCCAACAATTTAGTTCTCTTGCCTAAACATACAATCATATCACTTATCTATTCAAAACTCTGAAAAATCCAGTGTGTACAGAATAAAGCCCAAAATTTTGACATGCATTTAAAGATTTCTACCTTATGACCTCAGCCTGTCTTTCCGGACTTCCAGAATAAGTTTAACCTAATGGTTAAGAGCATGCATTCAGACGCTAGGTTTAACTGGTCCAAAACCCACTTCTACCAAGAGCTTATCAACTGAGGGATCTGAGCAGTAATACGCTGGTGAGTGTATTTTTGTTTTGTTTTGTTTTGTGAAGGAGTCTCACTCTATCGCCCAGACTGCAGTGGAGTGGCACAATTTCAGCTCACTGCAACCTCTGCCTCCCGGTTCAAGAGATTCTCCTGCCTCAGCCTCCCGAGTAGCTGGGATTACAGGCATGCACGCCACCACACCCAGCTAAATTTTGTATTTTTAGTAGAGACGGGGTTTCACCACGTTGACCAGGCTGGTCTCTGGTCTCAAACTCCTGGCCTCAGGTGATCTGCCCGCCTTGGCCTCCCAAAGTGCTGGGATTACAGACGTGAGCCACTGCACCCGGCCACTGGTGAGTGTTTAATAGGCTCTCAGGGTGGACGTGAAGTTCTGATTTTGCCAATCAGTCCTAGCATTTGCCAAGTTCTATGATATAAATATTTCCACCATGGCCGATTTTAGGCTACCAATGTGATATCACTATATTCAGAGTTGGGAAGAGAAGCTCACAACTGGCTCTCAAGGGCCATTGCAAGCTGGCTCCAGCACCCCACTGGACCTTGTGCAAGTTACCTACTCACTCTGAGACAGCTTCCTCACCTATCAAGTGGGGGTATGAGTGTCTAGCTATGACACTGTTTTAAAGATCAAATTGTACAGTGCTATGGTTCTCAAAGTTTAGTATGCATCAGAATCATCTTCAGGATGTGTTAAAACACAGATTGCTGGGCCCCACTCCCAGAGTTTGTGATTCAGCATGTCTGGGTAGGGCTCAAGGATCTGAAGTTCTAACAAGTTCCCAGGTGATGACATTTTGAGAGCCACTCGTGCAGTGCCTATGAAAGGCTAAGCTCACTGCCTAGCATAGAGATACCCAATACATATTAGCTCTTATTTTTATGATGCATCCGCACACATCCCATACTGTGCCTATGCTGAGCCTGTTGCCTTTCCCTGAACCCATACTGTATTTCCTTATCTCTGTATCGCTGCTTCTTCCTTCTTTCTGCACCAACAATCCTCCCACGGAAATCTTAATTCAGCTTACACACCAGAACCACCTTGAGTCCTCTAACTAGAATTTACTTTCCTAATCTGTCTCTCTTAAATTTGCAGTCTCTCCTATGGTTCTTATCAAACTTTGCCTCATATTGGAATGATGGCCTCAACATCTGTCACTCGATTATAAGTCCCAGTATATGGAATAATGTCATATATATTCCTGTCACCCTAGCCCAGCACCTTACATGTAGAAAGAGCTCCATCAGCGATGTTACTTTCAGTCACCTCCCTGTGACCAAGTTTTCTCCCAGAGAAGGAAGCTGCCCTGTTCAGGACATATGACCCATCTCCAAACCACAGGCTTCCTCATGGCCTGCAGGGTTGAGCCAAGAGGGCTCACCAGGCACCCTCTGGGGTTAAATTAATGATACTTACACAGAAAACAAATAAAAATACTGTTAAGGCCAGGTTGGGTGGCTCACGCTTGTAATCCCAGCACTTTGGGAGGCCAAGGCAGGCAGATCACCTGAGGTCAGGAGTTCGAGACCAGCCTGGCCAACATGGCAAAACCCCATCTCTACTAAAAATACAAAAATTAGCCAGGTGTGGTGGTGAGTACCTGTAGTCTCAGCTATTTGGGGAGGCTGAGGCAGGAGAATTGCTTGAACCCAGGAGATGGAGGTTTCAGTGAACCGAGATCGTGCCACTACACTCCAGCCTGGGCGACAGAGTGAGACTTCATCTCAAAAAACAAAAACAAAAGAACTGTTAAGTTGAAGGGGGAAAGTTCTGCAAGAAATGTAAATATATGATAGTGTACTACATGGCTCAGCTGTGACACACACTTACATAGTCATAGTGATGCTGGACACTGACCTATCCACAATTATGGTTTAACTTTATCAGGAGAAGAAAGAGGACAGAAAGTGTGCACATACTGAAGGCCTTTGGTGAAAGAGAGCTGAATCTTCTACTTTAACACAGTGAGAAGAGAAAATGCGTAAAACCTAAAAACCAAAAAGCATCACTATGTACATATTATATAAATATATGGATATGAATTTAAATGAAAAAGATGGAAGAGTTGAACTAGTTGCCTCTGGGGAGCAAAAAAATGGAGGGGGGCAAGATCTGATTTGGGAGGAAGGATATTAAGGCCTTCTTTATTGTTATTGTTATTATTAAAAATAATGAACTCCTTAAAGTTTATTCACACACAGATACATACAAACACACACACGTCTGTGAAAACAACAAAAACCGAAATTTTTTGAAAAGGACAAGGAGGAACTTATCACAAGTCTGTAGTAATCAGAACTGTGTGGAACTGGCTAAAGACAGACATATAGAGGCCAGGCACGGTGGCTCACACCTGTAATCCTAGCACTTTGGGAGGCCAAGGAGGGTGGCTCACTTGAGGTCAGGAGTTTGAAACCAGCCTGGCAAACATGGTGAAACCTCGTCTCTAGTAATAATACAAAAAAATTAGCTGGGTGTGATGGTGGGTGCCTGTAATCTCAGCTACTTGGGAGGCTGAGGCAGAAGAATCTCTTGAACCCAGGAGGTGGAGGTTGCAATGAGCCGAGATCGCGCCATTGCACTCCAGCCTGGGCCACAGAGCAAGACTCCATGTCAAAAAAAAAAAAAAAAAAAAAAAGACAGACATATAGAACCAATGGAATAGAATAAAGAGCCCAGAAACAAACCCTCAAAAATATGGTCAAATGATTTTTGACAAGGGCACCAAGACCATTCAAAAGGATAGTCTCTTCAACACACAGTGTTGTAAAAACTGGATATCCACATACAAAGGAATGAAGTTGTATTTGTAATTACAAACAAATATTTGTAATTATAAACAAAATATTTGTTTATTATTATAAAATAATTATTTTATAATAGTTTATAATTATTAAATTATTAAAATAATTATATATTTCTAATTATAAACAAAAATTAACTCAATATAGATCAAAGACCTATACCTAAGACCTGAAACTATAAAACTCTTAGAAGAAAAAGTAGGGAAAAATAACCTCATGACACTGGACTTGGAAAGGATTCCCTGGATGCGACACCAAAAGTATTGGCAACAAAAGTAAAAATAGACAAATCAGACTATATCAGAATTGAACACTTCTGAACATCAAAGGATACAATTAGCAGAGTGAAAAGACAACCTATGGAATGGGAGAAAACGTTTGCAACTCATATATCTGATAAGGGATTAATATCCAGAGTAAATAAAGAACTCCTACAACTCAACAACAACAAAAAACAGATAATCTAATTTTTTTAGTGGGCAAAGACTTGAATGGGTATTTCTCCAAAACAGATAAACAAATGGCCAACAAGCATATGAAAAGATGCTCGATGTCACTAATCACTAGCGAAATGCAAATCAAAATTACATTAAGACGTCACCTCACACCCATTAGGATGGGTACAATCAAAAAACAGAAAATAACGAGTGTTAGCAAGGATGTGAAGAAACTGAAATGCTTGTGCACTGTTGGTGAGAATATGAAATGGTGCAGCTGCTGTGGAAAACAGCATGGCTATCAAATAAGTAAAGATAAAATTGCTATGTGACCCGGCAACTCTACTTCTGGGTAAATATCCAAAATAATTAAAAGCAGGATCTCAAAGAGGTATTTTCCTACCCATATTCGTAACAGCACTATTCATAATAGCCAAGAGGTGGATGCAACCCAAGTGTCTATCCACTAATGAATGGATAACCAAATGTGGTATATAAATATGATGGAATATTATTAAGCTTAAAAAGGAAAGAAATTCTGATAAATGCTACAACATGAATGAACATTGAGGGCATCATGCTAAGTGACATAAGACAGCCACAAAAAGACCAATACTCTATGATTCCATTTATGTGAAGTACCTAGGGTAGTCAGATTCATAGAGAAAATAGAGTGGTGGCTGCAGGGGCTGGGGAAAGCGGTGGGGGGAAATAAATGTTGCTTAATGGGTACAGAGTTTCCATTTTGCAAGAGGAAAAGTTCTGGAGATTGATCGCACAACACTGTGACTATACTTAAAACTACTGAACTGTATGTTCAGAAATGGTTAAGATGGTAAATTTTATGTTCACATTTTTATCACAATTTTAAAGACAAACAGGACAAAGGAGTAGTTATCCAACTCAAAAGGAAGCTCAAAAGAAATATCTAGACTAGAGATGAAATATGTGCAAAACCTAGGACTCAGTAATTATTAGTGTTCAGGGCTGGGCATGGTGGCTCACGCCTGTAATCCCAGCACTTTGGGAGGCAAAGGTGGGAAGATCCCTTGAGCACAGAAATTCAAGATCAGCCTGGGCAACATGGCAAAACCCCATCTCTACAAAAATTATGAAAATATTAGCCAGGTATGGTGGCGTGTGCCTATAGTTCCAGCTACTCAGGAGGCTGAGGTGGGAGGATCACCAGAGCCTGGGGAGGTTGAGGCTGCAGTGAGCTATGACCATGCCACTGCACTCCAGCCTGGGCAACAGAGCGAGACACTGTCTCAAAAAAATAAAATAAAGTAAAATAATTAAGATTCAGGGTGTAAATAGCTATGAACAGAAAAATAAAGGCACCTAGGACCTAGCCTAGAAAATGTCTATATTTAATGGCTTGTGAGAAAAGAATGAGTCCACAAAAGCAACTAAGGAAGAGTGGGCACGGAGTTAAAGGGAAACTGGGAGAGAGCCAAAGGAGGGAGCTTTGGAGTGGTCATCTGTGCCTCATGCTGCTGAGAGGTCAAGAGGGCAGGCAAACAAAGAGTGAAAAATCCATCAGATTTAGTAACTCAGAAGTTACAAGCAGCATCAGCCAGAGCTGTTTCAATAGAATGATGGAGATGAGAGCCAGTGGATGAATATACAAAAGAGAGAGAGGTCATGAGTGTGAGGTTCTGAGACTACACAGAAGGGGAAGGTGGAGGCACCCCAGTGAGGTGGAGAATTAGCCTGGGAGGGAAGGACAGAGGCTCCACTATGGTAACAGAAAGGTGAAGGAGAGGATGAGTGAGGGCACAGGTGGGTTTGGAAGTTGCAGAATTGTAATCTACAGCCTCAAATCTCCCTACAAAATATAGGAGGAGTGCAGGAGTTCAGGGGGCTGGCGAAAGTGTTATTGGAATAATAGTCTAGGTAAGAGGGAAGGAGAGGGCTGAAAGATAGGAAAAGGCAGAGATCCCAATGAGGGTATAGAATAGGGCCTAAAAGTGGGCTGAAGGGGAAGTGGCTGTGGTCAAAAAGCAGGGTGCCTGCGTTCGGAATTTGTGGGGTGGTGTGGACTCAGGAGGATGAGCCCAACGTGAGAATCAGGCCGTGAGTGGTGAGATGGGCACAGGAAAAGCCTCCAGCGTGGTGCCCCCAGAAGAACCAGACTTCCCGAGTCACAGTCCAGTGTACTTCCCTGTTCCACCAGATGTCACCAATCCTGCAACATCGTGACAGCGTGCTGATCACTGAAAGCACAGAGCCAAACACATCCAATGCCCTCTGCATCCTGTTCCCCTGCCTGAGGGAGTATATTTTGCACCCAAAGGTGATGATCCTAGGACCTAACACTGGAAGAGTATCAGTCAGGGCTGGAGTACACATTTAAAGCAAGCAATGATACCCCTCTAATTTTAAACACAGAAAAAGAAATGGAGAAAGAAATGTTCTTTCCAGGAAGGCAAGACTACTAAGATTGGTTTTAGACCCTCCCACTCTGCCTCACCTCATCTCACTGATGTTGGCCTCTTTAGAACAGTCGCTCTCAAACTTAGCAGCATGTGGGAATCACCTAGGGAGCTTTGAAAATCATGCAGCCTGGGTCCCACATCTAGAGATTCTGGTTGAGCTGGTCTGGGGTGCAGCCGGGGCATCAAGGGCTCCAAAAGCTCTCCAGGTGTTGCGTATGTGCAAGCCAGGGCTGAGAACCACTATTTCAGGGCCGTTTCTGAGCAGGAGCAGCTGCTTCTCCCAACATTCAGTCTACACCCACTTCCAAGGCCAAAAGGCAGTTTCAGGGGTCTCTGGGCCATTTTGGAGGAGAACAACAAAGTTCCCCTCTCCTTACAGAACTGCAAGGCTCTAGCCCAGGCCAGAAAGAAAGCCATCAAAAGCTGAGCTGGGTTAACACCTCTCGGGCCTGGGTGCTTTGGCCATTTAGCTGGGCTTGCACATTTTGAGCAATCACGCTGCACAACATTCCCAGAAGCACTGATCAGGTGAAGGAGGGCAGGGAAGAAAGGCCAAATGACTTCAGGTGTGGTGTGAAATTGGGCATGAGGAACAGTCAATCCTATGAGGAGAAGCAACCCAGACGGCAAACAAACAGGGCAAGGTGGACTGAGACCAAGTTATGCGGACAGCTCAGCGGTCACTGAACTCCAACAGAGCCCACAGAGCTGCCACCTCTGTACCTCCAGACACCAAAACTTTCCACTAGGGACAGGGCATCTGGAGGCAGTGTGAAGTGGCTGTCCCAAGACAAAGCCAGTAAATTCACAACAGTAGGGACTTAACATGCAGTCTTAACCTCACGCTCACAGTCCAACCAGCATGGGAGTGTAGCCAGGTCTCATGGGGATGTTTGTAGGACAAAGAGAGGCACCCTTAGATCCACAAACTGCAGCAGCCATAATGACAGCTAGGACCACAAAATTTACCCACTCTGCCCCTAAAGCTCTCCCAACCCTCATCTGCGCCCCACACCTGGGGCTGCAATGGCCGATTGGTTTATCTACCTGACTCTACTAATCCCTGTTGACTGTGGTATCTCAGAGCCCAACAGAAGTGTTTGTCATTATGTGTCTAATGAACACATGAATGAAAATAGGAGATGTGTCCACTGTTCTTAAGCAAAGAATCACCAGCTCTTAGTCTCCTAGGAAGTTTTGTTTTTTCAAAATATACAAGTTTGCGGGCTTAACTGGGACACTTTAAGTCAGGTGCTTTGAAGGTGAGGCCCTTGCATTAGGGTATTATTAATCATATTCTCATTAAGAACCACAGCTCTGCAATCAGAAGTTCTCTTACTTTAGCAGGCATAAGAATCACCAGAGGTGCTTAGTAAAAATGCAGATCTAAGCAACAAATGATTTGGAAAAAGAAATCTCAAAAGTAATACTATCCAATAGCATCAAAAAAATGTGATCCTTTGAGAGATGAGTGGATAAATAAAATGTGGTGCATACATACCATGGAATATTATTGAGGAAAAAGATTCTGACACATGCTACAATACAGATGAACATGATGTAGCTAGAGAGTCAGATTCACAGACAAAAGGTAGAATGGTGGTTGCCAGAGGCTGGAAGAATGGAGAGTTATTGTTTAATGAATATAGAGTTTCGGTTTTGCAAGAAAAAGTTCTGGAGATGGATGATAGTGATGGTTTCACAACAATGTGAATGTACTTGCTGCCACTGGGCTGTACATTAAGAATGGTCAAAATGATAAACTTTATGCTATGTATATTTTACCAAAATGTTTTAAAATAAATATTTTTAGGGATATATTTAACAAAAGACAGATAAGAACTGTTGTTCTGACTGCCTCCTATTTACCCTGTTAGTGAGAGAAGGATCCCTGGCCCTAAAGAGTATGACATGGTTGGGCCGGGTGCGATGACTCACGCCTGTAATCCCAGCACTCTGGGAGGCTGAGGCAGGCGGATCATGAGGTCAGGAGATCGAGACCATCCTGGCTAACATGGTGAAACCCCGTCTCTACTAAAAAATACAAAAAAATTAGCCAGGCGTGGTGGTGGGTGCCTGTAGTCCCAGCTACTCGGGAGGCTGAGGCAGGAGAATGGCGTGAACCCAGGAGGTGGAGCTTGCAGTGAGCCGAGATCGCACCACTGCACTCCAGCCTGGGCTTCATCCCCCAGAGCGAGACTTCATCACCCCCAACTCAAAAAAAAAAAAAAAAAGTATGAGATGGTTAAACACGCAACACCCAATACTGAACAGATGAGATGACAGCAATTTTTTAGTCATATAGACTCACAGCCCAGGAGAGAAGGACACCACATGCCATGCAGGGGCATGCAGGGGTGACACTTGGAATCAGAGAGAACCAGCAGGGGCTGTGGGAGGCAGGCTTTATAGCAAGGAAGATGAGATACCCGCTGGTCCCCACAGGAGGATGTGATTGATTTGTTTGAACAAGTCCACCGGCTGGTAGGGAACTGAAGCCTGTTAGGTTGAGGATCTGGTGGGGTGCAGCTGGTCTGGCTGATCTAGCAGGGGAAGCTGGCCAGGTAGGGAGTCTTTCCTGCTGGGTGGGGTGGGAGGCATAGCTGGTAGAGCAAGGGAACTCATGGTTAGGACTTTGAGGCCCTGTGAGGCTGAAGATATCAAGGCAACATTTGAAATTTTAGGTCATACAATATGTCTATACTCTGAAAACTTCAAAACACTGCTAAGAATTTTTTAAAAAACAAACCTAAACAAATAGAGAGATATATCATATTTGTTAAAATGTCCATTTTCCCAAATGTATTCAACTCAATCCCAATCAAAATCTCAGAAGGCATTTTGTAGAAACTGTTAAGCGAATTTAAAAATTTATATACAAATATATGTTCAAAACAATTTTGGAAAAGAACTTACCCTACTTATTTTGAGACAAACTATAAAATACAAACCTACAACAATCAAGAGAGTGTGTTATTGGTATAAGGATAGACATTAATAGAACAGAATAGACAGTCCAGAAACAGACCTATATCTTGATTTTCAACGATGATGCCAAGGCAATTCAATGGGGAAGAGCTAATTTTTTCCACAAATGGTACTAGAAAATTGAATATCTGTAACAAAAAAAAGAACCTTAACTCTTACCTCACACCAAACACAAAAAGTAACTCAAAATGGGTCATAGACCTAAACACAAAAAACTATAAAACTTCTCAAAGAAAACAGAAAAAAATTTGTGACCTTGATGTCACAAAAATAAATCTTTATGGCATTGATTTTCTAGGTAGGAACAAAAAACCCCACTAATTATAAAGGGAAATAGATGAAAGTCTGAATGTTATCAGAATTAAAGACTTCTCTTTAAAATTCACTATTAAGAAAATAAAAAGGAGAACCACACACTCAGAGAAAGTATTTGCAATACTCGTAGTCAATAAAGAACTTGTATCCAAAATATAAGAAGAGCTCTTAAAGATCAACAAGAAGATAAGCAATGTACCCCCTCTCCCCAACACACACACAGCTAGCAAAAGATTTTAACAAATATTTCAATAAGAAGATATACAAATGGCCAATAAGTACACCAAAAGATGCTCAACACCATTAGTCATTAGGAAAAGAAATTAAAACCACATAAGGGCACTTATGATGGCATTTAGGGCCTACCTGGATAGTCTAGAATTATCTCCTCATCTCAAAATCCTCAATACATTCAAGTAACCAAAATTTAAAAGACTGACAAAATCAAGTATTGCTGAGAACGTGAAGTAAATGCAAAATGGTACAATTGCTTTGGAAAACTATTTGGTAGTTTCTTACTAAAATATTAAATTAAACATATACTTATCATATAAACCAACAATCACCAAAGAGAAATAAAAATACACACACATACACACACACACACACACACAACTTGTTCATAACAGCTTTATTCATAATAGCCTGAATCTGGACATAATTCAAATATCCATCAACAGGTGAAATCAGTAAGTGAATTGTGATATCCATACAATGAAATACTACTCAGTAATTTAAAAATGAACTATAGATACATATAATATGGAAGAATATTAAAATCCAGCCGAGGAAAAGAAATTAGATGCAGGAAATACAGTACATGCATACAGTATGTATTAGCTTCCTGGGGCTGCTGTGACAACCACACTGTTATTGGCTAAAAACAACAGGAATTTATTCTCTCCATTCTAGAGGCCAGAAGTCCAAAATCAAGGTGTCAGCAGGGCCACATTGCTTCTGGAGGCTGTGGAGGAGAACCTGTTCTTTGCCTCTTCCGACTTCTGGTGGCTGCAGCCTTCCTTGGCATTCCTTAGCTTGTGGCTGCATCACTCCAGTCTCCACCTCCATCTTTACATAGCCTATCCTTTCTGTGTGTGTGGTGTTGACCCTCCCTCTACCTCTCTCTTATAAGGGCACTAATGATGGCATTTAGGGCCCACCTGGATAGTCTAGAATTATCTCCTTATCTCAAAATCCTGAATTTAATTTCACCTGCAAAGACACTTTTTTCAAAGAAGGTGACATTTACAGATTCCAGGAACAGGACATATAATCTTCGGGGCCACCATTCAACTCACTACATTGAATGATATCATTTACATGAAATTCTAGAAGGAATAAGACTAATCTGCTGTAACAAAAGGCAGTGGTTGCCTGGGGCCAAGGAGGTGGAGGTGACTGACTGCAAAATGGCATCAGGGAACTTTCTGGTGGGAAGGAAGTCCTCTATATTATGATGGTGGTGATGGTTCCATGACTGTGTAAGTTTATCAACACTCATCAAACTATACCCTTACAATGAGTGTATTTTATTATACACAAATATAATTCATTTTAAAAGAAAGCAAAAAAAAAATGTAGATTTGGGGGACCAAACTTGGAAAGTCCCATTTGACAAGTCTAGGGTGCATTTTAAATAAACAGCCCAGGTGCCTGTTCAGGAGGTGGTCCTGGAACCTCACGGGAGAAAGAGTGCTCTGGAAGTTGAAGAAAGGGCCCATCACATCTTGCTGCCTTCCCTTTGGTTCCACAAATAGCCAAGTGCCAGGTGCAGAGCTGGGGATGTCCTGCAGTGAAGTCCTGCCCACTGTAAGTTCAGGCTGTTGAAAGACATGCCCACAACTCACTCCAGCCCAACGCAGCTATGACAAGAACTGACAGGTATAGAATCACAGAGGAAGGTGAATTTTGACCCAGAGACTGGCAACAGCTCTCTGGATGGGACAGCATTCGAGCTGGGCCCTGATGATGGAGCAGGATTTTGACACATGGAACGGTCAACACCAGCTGCCTCCTGTTCATGTCCTCTTGGTCCTCCCTGAGTCCTCTGTCCTCCCCTTGGTCCTCCCTATCTGAGTCAAGCTCACTTAGGATGGCCTCTCTCCAGGCATTCTTCCCTGCCTCCTGTCTTTCTGTCTTTTGCCCATGCTGGGCCATGCCAATCCCTTCCCTAGATTCTTCATCAGCAAAGCCCCAAAAACAAGACTTGGCCTTCAGTAAGGCACCCTGGGGAGGCTACTTCTGCAGAGAACCAGGCTGGTTGTCCCTTCTCTTGACTATTCCACCCCCAGATCCCAATCCACAGCTCCAGCCAGACATTCAAATTCCAAGGACTCAACCTCTTTGACCCGATTCCTTGGTCCCTTCTGTGTCTTTTCTGACTCTGGTTTCTCTTAAACTTCTACAGAAATACAGTATATGGATATGTACTATATTTATATGATATACTTATCATATAAACTAACAATCACCCAAGAGAAATAAAAATACACACACACATGCTTGTTCATAACAGCTTTATTCATAATAGCCTGAATCTGGACATAATTCAAATATCCATCAAGTTCCACCTAGTTCTATGGGCTTTCCAGGTGGTCCCTGCCCTCCACAGCAGAGGCACACTGTTGGTGGTTAGGCCTTCTCCTATGACCTGGTTCCTCAGCCCCACCTCCATTCCCCATCCCTGGCTCTCCCTAGGCCATCACTACTCAACTCCTGAACTCACAAGGATGGAACCAGGCCAAGGCCCCAGGGCCTCTCTGGACCAAAAATGAAGCAATTTAAACCTTCTCAGACTCTGATCCCAGCACAAGTCCCTGGATTTGGTCCCATGTGCCTTGCATAAGACAGACAACTTGGAATCTCTTAGCTTTTTTCTTCCCCAACTCCCAGTAAGTAGCTCTACCACTCCCTCCTTTGCCAAATGAAGAAGGGCAGACTTCCCAGAGCTATTTACAAGCCATGAACGGCACGTTGAGCCCTGTGTACTCCAGGAATGCCTCTGGGTGGGTTTCTTTGTTCTCACAATGAGGTTCTCCATTCTTTGCCCGCATCCATCCTCATGGAGTGAGGAGAGCTCCCCATTGGTTAGATGGGTAGTTATGCCTGTACAGGGTCCCAAGATGCGAAGTTTGCAGCCTGCAGGCTCACAACCACCTCTTCGTGATGCCTCTGCCTTTTGGAAAGCTTGGTGGTCTCCAATATCTGGTCCCAGGAGACAAGGAATAAAGCTGGAAGGAGGAATGGGGCTTTCTGAGGAGCTAACAATCCTAGGACTAGGAGGAAACCTCACCCTGGCAAGCTCCCTGAACCCACCACCTTAACTGAAAGATTTCGAACTAGAACATGTCTTAAGCCCTGGTGTGGAACAGTCACAGGAAGGAGGCTGCCCTCCTCTCTTTGCCTAGACCATGGGCAAACTGGGCACTAAATGGGGCTCCACCAAAGGTCCAGGGCCCCCATCAGGGTGTGATGGGCTATTCTGGCAGCAGGGACCCAGTGATGGGGTCAGCCAGGCCTCACAGTGCACCATTATGACCCTCACATACACTGGGAATATTTGGACCCCTAAAGAAGGGAACCCAGTGACTGAAATAGCCAAGTGGAGCCCAAACCTTATTCCGCCACTGGGAAACTGACTAGAGATAGCAACTGAGGCTGTTCACAATATTTCAGCTTTTCACTAACATGACACATAGGATTGCACTTTCTCTTCCACATTAGTTGGATGAAGTCATATGGCTAGTTCCAGCCAATGAGCTCTAACCAGAAGTGTCATGTGCCACCTCTGGGCTGGAGCATTTAATTGCTGATGCATGAGCATCCAGAGTTCTCTTTCCCTGTGCCATGGCAACCAGCAGTGTTCCAGATGGTGGCTGCTCCAGTCAGCCTGTGCTGGAGTGAGGATGATGTTGACCTGGTGCAAAGCTCCCAGCCTTTTCTCTTGGCCATGAGTATGGGCAAGAATGACATCTTTGTTATTTCAAGTCACTGAGATTTGGGGGCTGTTATTACTGCAGCATAACCCAGCCTGTCCTCACTGGAATATGAGTCAAAGGCCAACCAGAGCTGCACGTGTTCAGTATCACCCAATTCCAGGGACCCCGTCTAACCTTATTTCCCTATCGCCTACTTCTGACTTTGGGTCCAAGCCATGCCTCAGTCCTAACACAACAAAAGAGAAAGGTGCCTCAGAAGCCAAACCAGTGTGGACTCCAAGTGGATGATGTTCTCTGAGCCTAAGATGCCAGCTCTTCGGGATTCAGTGGATTCCAGTGGGGGTCAGGGTGAGGGTTAGACTGCTATAGGAGGCAAAGCCCAGCTTGTCCATGGAGTCCCAGGAGTTGAGCTGTGACACAGGAACTGGTGTCTGACATCAGCCTCCAAAGTACTAGCACTTCTTGCCTGCTTCAACTAAAGACGACCAACTTGGCCTCTTCCGTGGTTTCTCTTCGGCCACGGAGAGCTCCTGCCTGTGGGTCTTCATCTGAAGTCTCCCTTGGGGCACTGTCTTCAGCCTCATGTCCCCGTGAATCCTAGTGTGACTCTAGTTCTCCCATCAACTCTCTAACTTGCTATGTCATGAAGAATGTGGCTTCTAGCCTTCTTCCTTTCTCCCAACCGTTGTGAGCTCAAGCCTCAGGCCATGGCCTTTGCCTATAGAATCATCCTTCTCTTCTGTCATTGAAACAGCTCCCAACCCCACCATCCCCTAATGGATAGAGGCTGGCTAAATATTACTAAGACCTCATCCATCCACCCGTGGAGTTCCCATGCATTCCCTACCCATTCCCATTATATACTTTACCTCATCTTTACTACATCTCAGAAAGACCAAACTTGATCTTTTCAATCAAGTGAGTAGGGAGGGGAGAAGAAATAAATGAACGTTTATGAGACCTGCAATGAGCTAGTCATTCTCCTTCACTGACTCCATGACTCATGCAGGATGGTGAGGGATTAAAGGTACAGGTTCTGGAACCGAATTGCCTGGTGTTGAGTCTCAGCTCTGCCACTTGCTAGCAGTGTGATCTTAAGCAAGCTGCTTCACCTTTCTGGACCTCTGTTTACTTTTTGTATAAAACAGCAATGTGGCCGGGCCCGGTGGCTCACGCCTGTAATCCCAGCACTTTGGGAGGCTGAGGCGGGTGGATCATGAGGTCAGGAGTTCGAGACCCAGCCTGGCCAACATTTAGAGAGCCTCGTCTCTACTAAAAATACAAAAAGTAGCCAGGCATGGTGGCGGGCGCCTGTAATCCCAGCTACTCGGGAGGCTGAGACAGAGAATTGCTTGAACCCAGGAGGCAGAGATTACAGTGAGCTGAGATTGCGCCACTGCACTCCAGCCTGGGCGACAGAGGGAGACTCCGTCTCAAAACAAAACAAAACAAAACAAACAAACAAACAAACAAAAAACCAAAAAGGAGTGATTTGTGATGGGTATTAACAAACCATCACATTGCTATGGTTACTGAATGAGTTGCTAGACATAAAGTGTATGCTAGAACAACGCCTAGCATGGTGCCCAGTGCATGTGAGTTATTATGATTCACCCACAGAGTATCTAAATGTACCAGACACAGGGCACACAAAGAGAACAAAATAGACCTATTCATTCATTCAACAAATATTCATTGAGGGACTGCATGTGTCACCCACTGTGATGGGAGCTGGGCACATGTGTCTCTGCCCTCATGAAGCTCACAATCTGGTGAGGGAGGGAGGAGGACAGTAAACCAGTGAATAGCAAACTGATCTGGGCTAGGAGGGATGGAGGCACTGTAACAGAGGTTGACGGAGGCAGAGGAGAGGTGGGGGTGGGTCAGGGAAGCCTTCTGATATTTAAAGGACAATGTGAAGATGAGGTGGTGCTATCTGGAAAAGAGCAAGGGGAAGTGCAAGGGAGATGGGTAGGGAGATGAAGGAGATGAGGGGAGGGAGGCAGGCAGGGCCAGGTCACTCAGGCCTTATGGTTGGTGTCCTCAGTGCAACCCCAATCCACAAGGTGGTTACAAGCAGAGAAGCGACAGGATCTCATCTTACATCTTTCAATGGGCATACTGCAATTTTCCTTTCACTGAAGAGGAAACTGAGGCCCAAGCTCAAATCCCTGGTAAATGATGTGGTTGGGACTACAACAGCTCTCATCAGCCCCAGCTCAGCAAACTTGCCAGTTTACTACTTCTCACCCTCTCCTGTACAGCAGGAACGAACTCTCCAAAAGCCCTTCACCTGATCACGGGGTCGTGGTGCCTGTCTTGACTTAAACTCACACCACCATGCACAATTGAGGGTCCAGCAAAGGTTTCCATGCCAATGGCTTGTGCAAACAACACTCCCCTGCGCTCCTTCCCCACCGTTTCCATCCCCCACAACTACCGGAGTTGACACCCAAGCCAATAACCACAGGTAAACGTGTTTCTCCCTGGGACACGGAGTTAAACACACAACCACAGAGATGTGTCTCAAGTCCAGAATGGAAGGGCCAAGGTGCCAGGGATGACAAATCCTCCGGGAATCCAGCTCGAAGCTCCCCCCGGAGACACCCCTCCCCAAAATAGGCAAAGAGGGTCAGGAACACTCGTGCAAACAGCTGATCCACAAAACCCCCACTGTGCCCACGGCTTTCCCCACCTCAGCCCTTTCTATTTTTATCAGGAGAGTGAGAGGGGGTTGCCAGGCGGGGCCACGGCGCTGTTTATGTCTGAAATTTAAAAAGATGCACAGAGTACTTGAGAGAAGGCGTTGCCGCTAAAGGAATTTCGGAGGAGAATTTCAAACCCAGCAGGGTGAATAGGTGCCTTGTGTTCTGACTTTTGACTCTGGAAAAGCCGCGTTTCCAACCTTGGCATGCAGAGGGGGCAGGGATAAGGAGAAAATGCATGCGTGTGAGATTCAGACAGGGAGTGAGACCCAGCTCACCTGGGCACAGGGAAAAACTGATTTTCAGACTGGGAGTGCTTTGGGAGGAAGCCCTTCTGCCCCTCCAGTGTCATTTCTACTTATTTATGCCCCAAGTAATTCATGGACTTTTCTTGCTCTCTTAGCCTTACCTGATTAGCCCCACTCCAATCTAGCCATTCTCTACTCCATATCTGCCATCTGTCTCCAGTTTATCAGTGAGTTTTGCTGGGTATTAATTTTCTTACGTATTTGCTCATTAAGACTTTAAGAGGCAGAAAAGCTGAAGAAAAGGAGGCTATTGGACAAAAATGTCCAATATCTGTCCAGAATCTCACTCTGGACACACAGGCTGGGATGCAGAGGCATGATCTCTGCTTACTGCAGCCTTAACCTCCTAAGCTCAAATAATTCTCCCACCTCAGCCCCCTGAATAGCTGGGACTACAGGCATGCGCCACTACGCCTGGCTAATTTTTGTATTTTTTGTAGAGATGGGGTTTTAAGAGGCTTTAAGTCACTCTGATTTGTCAATTTTTTGCTACCTAATTACATTGTATGTGTCCCTTTGACAGCTGTATGCCTACTGTTTCTTTAACACACACACAACTTAAACCTGGTGGAGGGTTTTACTCTATAGGCAATACAGCAGGACAAATTGGTGCTATTTCTCCAACTGTGTAAAACAGGAGGCAAGAAGGGGTAACAAGAAAGTATCTTCCTGCTGAGGGAATTTCAACACATATCTCCTCTCTTTGCCTTCATCCTTCAAAGGTTAAACTGGCTCTAACGGCCCTGTACATTCCAGACCAGGCTACACAAGACCCTTATTAAGCCGGGGATCCTCAGGAAGGTTGGCGTCACTTTTAGGGGGTTGGACTTCTGACTTGATATGGGACTTCAGGGTGGACCTGATCCCCAAGTTTGTAGTTGATCTCATGTCCTTGGGTCTGGGAGTAAGCGCCAAGAAGCTCCAGCCTCACTGATGCACAGAGCTGCAAAAATGCAACTGTTTATGAAGTTCATTGGCCACAAAGTCCTAGAAGCCACAAGATGCAGCTGTCATGCAATTAAACTCCAGCTGTCTGCCCGATGAAAGTTCGTGGCTTGACAATGTCTCTATTTCTTTTTCTCTAGAACCTCCTCACACGCAGCACCTTTTCTTGGGTGTGTGAGGGTCTCTGGCATTCCCTCCCTATGTTTCTAGATCTCTCTGTTTCTCTCAGCATCCTTACATTTTTGTCCAATAGCCGCCCTTTCTTCATCTTTTCTGCCGCTTCCATTTTCTCCCTTAATTAGTAAGCAATTAAGATATATTTTAGCATTTGTTGAATACAATTTAATGCTCCATTCTTCTTCTTTTTTTTTTTTTTTTTTTTTTTTTTGAGGCAGAATCTTACCCTGTCATCCAGGCTGGAGTGCAGTAGCATGATTTCTGCTTACTGAAGCCTTGACCTCCCAAGCTCAAGTAATTCTCCAACCGCAGCACCCCCGAATAGCTGGGACTACAGGCGCACACCAACATGCCTGGCTAATTTTTGTATTTTTTGTAGAGATGGGGTTTGCCCTGTTGCCCAGGCTGGTCTCCAACTCCTGGGCTCAAGAAACCCACCCACCTCGGCCTCCCAAAGTGCTGGGATTACAGGCGAGAGTCACCACACCTGGCTTAATGCTCCATTCTTATCTTAGGTTAATAAGTTCCCTGAATTCCAGACCCACATTTCTCTGCCATTTGGCTGCCTCCCCCTGGATGTCCCTCTACCTCTAAAAACCCAACTTGTTTACAACTAAACTTTCCGTCTTTTCTCCCCAAGCCAAGCACTTCCCGCTCCATCTTTTGTCCCCAAGCCAGCTGCTTCCCAGTTCCCCACTTTCCTGTTGCTGTTGCAGCAACTCCACCTCTGTCAATCATTCAGGTTCGGAAGTTCGAGGCCATCCGTGATTCCTGTCCCTTCCTGTCCACTCTCACTGCCGTCACCATAGAATTATTTCACCACCTGCAGATGCAGTCATTGCACGTACCCTTCAATGTGTTGGCACATGCCATATTTTAAATTTTTAAATTAATCATCATCTGATTTTACACAAAAATCCAGATGTTTGGTTTCCCAAAGAAAAAATAATAACTACTGCTACTACAGAAACAACATGATGTAGCAACAGTGAGCCTGAGTTCCTGGTGCCAGCATTCAGTGGGAGCTGGGTAGTTAGTGCTGCCCTATGAATGGGACTTAAAACCTCCAGTTTGAGTGAAAGGCAGACCCAAAGGAGTACACCTGGGAAAATAACATCCAATCAAGTTCAAAAATAGACAAAATTGATCTATCAGTCAGGTCAGAATAGTGGTCGCCCTGGGGTGGGGGGATCTTCAAAGGAGCTAGAAAGTTTCTTCATATTGACCTGGGTGTGACTACAATGTTGTTCACTGAGTTGTACACTTAAGATGCACTTTATATATATCACATATTATAAAAGAAAGGAAGAGAGGGAGGGAAATGTGTTGGCACAGTGCCTAGCTTAGTCCCTGGTATGTAGTAAGTACTCAGTAAATGGTTGTTATTTTGAGATGGAGTGTTGCTCTTGTTGCCCAGGCTGGAGTGCAATGGCACGATCTTGGCTCACCGCAACCTCTGCCCCACCAGGCTCAAGCGATTCTCCCACCTCAGCCTCCTGAGTAGCTGGGATTACAGGCATGCGGCACCATGCCTGCCTAATTTCGTATTTTTAGTAGAGACGAGGGTTCTCCATGTTGGTCAGGCTGGTCTTGAACTCCTGACCTCAGGTGATCCACCCGCCTCGGCCTCCCAAAGTGCTGGGATTACAGGCTTGAGCCACCGCACCTGGCCTAAAAGTTGTAAAGTATGAAGGCTCTGGAACCAGGTGGCCTGGGTTAGATCCCTGCTTCTACTAGTTAGCAACCATTGCTAACTAGTAGAGCACTGTATTAGTCTGTTTTCACACTGCTGTAAAGAACTACCTGAGACTGGGTAACTTATGAAGAAAAGAGGTTTAATTCACTCACGGTTCTGCAGGCTCTACAGGTAGCATGACTGGGAAGGCCTCAGGAAACTTACAGTCATAGTGGAAGGCGAAGGGGAAGCAAGCACAGCTGACCATTGCAGATCAGGAGAGAGCGTGCAGGGGGAGGTGCTACACGCTTTTAAACCATCAGATCTTGTGAGAACTCACTCACTATCACGAGAACAGCCAGGGGGAAATCCACCCCCACGATCCAATCACCTTCCACCAGGTCCCTCCCCCAACACTGGGAATTACAATTCAACATGAGTTTTGGGTGGGGACACAGAGCTAAACCATATCAGGCAGCTTTCTAAACATTCCTGTCTTCAGTTTCTTCATCTGTGAAATGGAGTTAGTGAGACTCCCTACCTCATAGGGTGATTGTGAGGTCTGTTGAAGCGCATAGCACAAGGCCTGGTAGGCAGTAAGAGCTCAATAAGTGTTACCCTAAAGGGAAGAAAATCCTGACATATGCCGCAATATGACTGAACCTGGAAGACATGATGCTAAGTGACTAAGCCAATCGCAAAAAGACAAATTTGGCGCTAATCCACTTACATAAGGTACTGACAGTAGTTAAATTCATAGAGACACAAAGTAGAATGGTGGTGGCTACGGGCAGAGGGTAGGGGTAATTAGGAATTATTATTAAATGGGTACATAGTTTTCATTGCAGAAGATAAAAAAAGTTTTGAAGATGGATAGTAGTGATGATTATATAACAATGTGAATGTACTTAAAGGCACTGAACTGTATGCTTAAAATGGTTTAAATGATGAATTTTATATTATGTATATTTTACTACAATAAATAAGTAAATAAATATGGCCATAATAATGAGGCTGTGTCAGCCCATGGAGGAACTGGCATTCCATTTTTTTGAACTTGAGAATTTGAGACTAGATAGAGTACTCTCAGCATTTTGGAAATGCCTGTTGGTAATGTATTTGGTAGAAGACTATTTTAAGACTGTAATGCTAACAAGTAAATGTCCTAAGAATAAAAGGTAACCCAGCTAAGTACTGATTTTTTTCCTTACATATTCTTCATTTTCTCCCCTTAAAAAAATATGCCCTAAAAAAAAAATACAGCAATAACAACCACTAAAATGTCAGGAAGACTATTCCCCCGCACTATAATATCAAATGAGTGGCAAGTTTTGTGGGGAAAAGTCATGCCCACATCTTAGCAGATCATTTTTAAGCTATGGGGATGCTGCCTGCACCTCTTCTATTTCAATTCTAGCAAATGTTCATGAGATATCATTTCTGCTTATTTTATAAGTGTATATTCTGTATCTATACCATCATGTGTGGAAATCTGGGACAACAATTTTTCTGAATAATCTAATATTTACCACTGAAAGAAACTAAAAATATCAAGCCCAATGTGACAAAGGTTGAGAAGCCAGTCCCAAAAGACTCTAATGGCTGGAATAAGGAAAAGAATAGAGAAGAGCCAGCTACGATCTGGAGTGCGGGAGCCCCTTAGGGTTCGGGGTCAGGGAGAGAAGGTGAGCAGGATCGCATGAGCCTCAGGGGCTGGGGCTGCCAGGAAGTACAAAGCCTAAATCCTCCGACTTCTCTTCTTATTCCAGACTTGCTTGGAAAAAGCTGTTGATGATGATGATGATGATGATGGTGGTGGTGGTGGTTGTGATGATGGTGGTGGGATGGATGCTGATGATGATGGTGATACGTAACATTCCACTCAGCATCACTCACTGAGTATTCTCAATGATAAAAAAAAAAACACTAGTGAGTAATGAATAAAATGCTTGCCATAATTTCCTCTTTTATAAATGGTAGGGTTTTACTAAAAATAAGAATCTGCTATGAATTCAGAAAAAAAAAATTGAAACTGAAGCTTTAAGAGAGTTTCCTTAAACGTGCCCTTCAATTTCTATGTCTTTGGTGACACAGCACTTTCCCGTTACTGTATGTCATTATTCCACACAGACCCGTGGAGGCTTGTGAGTGTTTCATTAACTGTCTCCATGTTCTTTATTATAACATTTCCCTCCTACTTTGCCACTAGTACAGTGTTAAAGTAATAAAACAGCACTTTTCAAGTGTTCCACTAGTTCTCACTAGACTCCACTCCCTGGCCCAGTTCTGCTATAAGAAGGCTTTTCTATATCATGTTTCTATGGCCCTTTGCTTCCAAAAAGGATCACAACGTTCTCTACACATATTACATATAGTATTCATTGTTGCCACACTCCTATGAGGTGGGTATTTTTAGCTTCTTTTACAAACACAGAAAACAGCACACAGGAGAGAATGTACTTACTCAGGCACACCAAATTGTGGGGGCTAGGGGGAAGGAAGAAAATTAACCATCCTTGCACTTTGAGCCAGATCAGTTACTAGGGGCTGACATTCCATATCTTATTTTAATTCTCACAACAATTCCATAAGATAGCTCCATTTTACAGATGTGAAACCAAAATCCAGAGAGGTTAAGAAACTCACCCAAGGTTCCCATGCCAGACCTGGGATTCACATCCAGTGCTCCCGATTACACAGGGAATCTCCTTGCTCCACAGCTCTCTTTGTTGCTTGAGATACACAGGAATCCCTTTCACGGGGGCCCGCATGGAAACAGTCTTCATTTTAATTGCCTGCAAGATTAAATATCAAGCAACAGTGAGATGTAGTTCTGAAACTCAACGATGTTTGGCCATACCGGTAGGAGCAGAATATCCAAATGGTTAGAGAAAAGAGTTGTCCTGGCTCCCCTCTAATCAGTCCACACCTGGGCTTGTGCATCTAATGCCGGGCATTGCATTTTTGAGGGGCATCCACAAACAAGGTTCGCAGAGAGTGAGGAATCCAGAAGCAAACTCCAGAAGAACACTCCCTTGGGAAACAGTCAAAGACCCTGTGAGGAGAGACATGAAGGGTGATGTGAGAACCCTCCTGCACTAACTGGAGGCTGCCCCTGTTGAAATGGGGGCAGACTGTGTTGCTCTAGAGAGCAGAATTGGGCCACTCACTTGTAAAAGAGTTTGGAATGAATGCTTCAGAGGAATTCTGCAAGCACCTTATATTGGGACTTAGCAAGGTACCTTCATGGTGTCCCCATGTATGGGACAGAAATAAGCACTCCATGGTAATACAGTCAGATGGATGGGGGGACTGGCCATGCTCTATGAGTTAGTTTAATGGAGTGTAGAAGCCAGCCTCCAAGATGCCCCCAGTGATCCCCATCCCCTGGTATTCACATCCTGTATGACCCTCCCACACTAGTTCAGGGCTGGCCCTGTGTGGGACTTCCAAAGCTATGACACAGAAGCACTGCACTCCCTGTGTCACTCACTGTGGTGGAAGCCAGCTGCCATGTCATGAGGACACTCAAGCAGCTCCATCGGGAGGCCCTATGGAGATGAAATGAGGTCACTGGCCAGCAGCCAGCACCAATTCACCAATCACGTGAGCGACCCACCTTGGACATGGATCCTCAAGCCCCAGTCAAGCTTTCAGCTAACTGCAGCTGTAACTGACATCTGACTACAACTTCAAGAGCTAGTCCAGGCCAGAACTGCCTGGCGAAGTTTCTCCCAAATTCCCGATCCATAGAAACCATGAGAGATATTAAATAACTATTGTTTTAAGACACTCAGTTTTGAGGTGATTTGTTACACAGCCATTATAACTGGAATATCGGATTATGTCGTTCATTCCAGGGGGGCTGTCTCTAGTGCTCTGCTCTAGAACTCAGCCCTAATCTCCGTCCCAGGCAATATTTTTATGAGCAGCCTGAATGAAAACATAGAAGTGGCACACTAGTTAGCTTTGTAGAATGTCTGCTGCTAAGAGGAATGGCAAACACACAGAATAATAGAGTCAGAATCCAAGATGATCTGAAGTAGTAAACTGAATTAGTTAGTGTAATGTTTAAAAGAAGCAAAAATGAAGCCCCACACTTGGATTGGAAAAACCCATTGTACCAGGATAAGCCAAAGGAGATGCTAGGTGGCAGAAGCACTGTGAAAAGGAAGTCTGAGCTGGCTGCAGGCTCCAAATGAGTCATGATGAGGCTGTCATAAAAGCACATAAATGTTGGCTGCATTACCAGAAGCACAGGACCCAGGTTATTGAGGTGAGCTCTCCTCTGGACCCAATCCAAAAGGGAGAAGGGAGAGACTTGAGATCACTGATTCCAAACAGAAAGGTTTATCACGTGGCAGGAGGTCCTGGGACAGGTTAGGGTTGGGGGGATGGAAATGGGCCTGTCTTGTTCACTGCTGAATCCACAGTATTGGGCATGAGCTTCTGTGAAAGCTGAAAGCTGCCTAAATACAAGAACCACGTGAAAAAAATGGATGTGGCCTCAGAAGGGAGTCAAACTCATGGCCACATCCAAGCAGAGTCTGATGTCCTACTTGAGGGAAACATCATGGACAGGACTGACATACTCTATGGAGGGGTGTCCTTAAAGTTCTCCAAGAGCTCTTCCCAGCTCTGAGATTCTCTTATTCTGTGATTTGTGATTGAATGAGTAGAACCTGCTGAATGATGTCAGCACAGTGCTTCTCAAACTTCAGCAGGCATATACAACACGGGAGGGATCTTGTTAAAATGCAGATTGTGAGTCAGTAGGTCTGGGGAACCTGGCATTCTGCATTTTGAATAAGCTTCCAGGTGACACTGCCAGTCTATAGAACATACTCTGAGCAGCAAGAGGTTAGAAATTGCCAGTTTACAGCAGACTGCATCGGGCAGCCTGGAAAAGGCATTAGGCAACTGTAAAGTATTCTAGCAGAAGAGGAGATGACCAGCTTCAGAAATATTACACTGGAACAGAGCTCCTGAGTTGGACAGGAAGAGCCTGTGTATGCCACCAAGGGCCTTCTGACACGCATGTCCTTTGACTCTCTGAATACTGTCTTTAAAGTGTCCAAATGCGTTGCCATTATCCTGGGTTTTTTGTATCCTTTAGGGCTAGGGAGTGTGAATTCATACCAGCCTGTACTCCAATCCCATTCACTACCTTGATGGCCTCTGAGTCTTGGTTTCTTAGTGTGTAAATGGGAATGGCATCCATCTGAGAGGCTGCTGTACCAAGCAGCATCTGACACATAATAGGTGCCCAATATATGTTTCTTAGACTCATTACAAAACCAGATGATCAATAAACATTTGTTCCCTTCAATACAAAGATAAATCGCCTAATTAATATTTGCCCTTGACTTGTTCTTCATTAACCCCACCTGCCCTAGGATGAATGTTGACATGAACCCATTTTACAAATGAGAGCAATTTGTTCTCCCACAAGGCATCAGGTAAACACAGGCATGAGAATCCATGACCTCGTTGGAATTTCAGGGACTGTTTTTTTCCCAGAGGGTCATTTCTCCCTGTTCCAGGCATTGAGGCCAGTAACTATTAAGATTTCATCTCTTTTTTTTTTTTTGAGACGGAGTCTTGCTCTGTCGCCCAGCCTGGAGTGCAGTGGCGCCGTCTCAGCTCACTGCAAGCTCCGCCTCCCGGGTTCACGCCATTCTCCTGCCTCAGCCTCCTGAGTAGCTGGGACTACAGGCGCCCGCCGCCACGCCCGGCTAATTTTTTTGTATTTTTAGTAGAGATGGGGTTTCACCGTGTTAGCCAGGATGGTCTCCATCTCCTGACCTCGTGATCCGCCCGCCTCGGCCTCCCAAAGTGCTGGGATTACAGGCGTGAGCCACTGCGCCCGGCCTCATCTCATTTCTTTATCTGTGAGAGAAGCCACTATCACCCCCTAAGGGGCTTCGGTCACCAGCATTTTGTCTGTGTCCTAAATGCTTCAAGACTTACAGACCTGACTCAATACGCTCAGGTAGAAAAAGGGTGAAATCAAGAATGGCCAACCACTGGAACACTTTAGCCATTGCTCTGAGAGGTGGGTGGATAGAGTGGGCACTATGCTCCCTCCGACGGGGCTTCACTGCCCTGGACAGGGGAGAGACAGGCGGCTCACAGAGCATGTGCTGGGCCAGGGCCAGTCCCGCCCCCAGGCAGAGATGGCCAGTAAAATAACCACATAATTCCAGTGGAGTCGCCCTGGGGAAACCGAGGCACTTCAGTTCCTTTTCATCAAGGAACTGATTAAAGTGTGGTCTATTATCTCTGTAGTGGGGAGTCCCGAAAGATTCCACTTCTTCCTCTTCTTGCCCAATGAGAGGGTCAGGAAGCTTCCACCACCATCCTGACTGTGGCCACCACATCCTGGTGTGAAGCACCACCAGCTTCCTCCACAAGAACTCTGAAGGTCACCAGCCAGCTTGAGTCCTCCGAAGGTGCTGTGGCTCAACCAGCAGCCTGTGTAGCAGAGAGCACAAGACCTGGGACTCGAACTCAGTCCCACCTTCAAGAGGGATCTCCACCACTTTCTGAGCCTCAGTTTTCACATCTTTGGTTAGGGGCAGGTGGGAAGTTGCCATATTTACCTTGTTGGGCTCTTTGGAAAAATTAAATGAAATGTTAATGTATGTTACACAACGGGCTCATAGGAGGGATTCAAAAGCTGCTAGTTCTTTTTCTCCTTTTCCTGAAAACGGTATTAAAGAGTACTGTAGAGACACTGGAGAATTCCTGCTTCATATGAGATGTCCTTGGTCTCTCCCGGGGAATTTGAAGACCCAGAGACTCGCAGCTCCCCGTGAGCCTCCCCGCTGACGCCTTACCTCCCCCTCTCCACCATCCCCTGCCATCCCGGTGTACGCCACCCCCAAAAAAACTTTCAGCCAGCTCCTCGGTGAGGGTCGTTCCAAATCGTGGCCGACAGTAGCGGGCTGCACCCTCCTTAGATCGCGTCGTGGCCAGCCTCAGCTGCAGAACCCCGCCGGGCGCCCGGGAGCCCTGTCCCGCCGCGGCGGCCTCAGAGTCCGGGCACTTGGGGATTCTCTGAGGGTGCAGCCCTCCTGGGCCCCTCCGACTGCGGAGCTGCCGACCGCAATGCAGATGCGGGCCCTCCAGCCCTTCTCGCGCCGCCTTCCTCCCGCCAGCCCCGGAGCTGCCGGGTCCGCGCCGCCCCGGGGAGCGCTCCTCTCCCGCCCTGAGCGCAGGCCGGCTTCCCCATCGGCGCGCCGGTCCGGAGCCAGGGTCCAGCGCGCTCCAGACGCCTCTGCCTTCCCCTCCCCCTGTCGGCCGCCCCTCGGTCCCTGGGGGTGGGGTTTCCCTTTGCGCTCGCCCCCTCCCGCCCCCACCCCTCACGGGCCCTCCCCTCCCCCGCCCGTCCCTATGTATGTGTCACAGCGCGCCATGCCCGCCCGCCCGCCCACCTACCTCCCCGCCGCTCCAGAGGGGGCTCGCAGAGCTGAGGACGCGCGCAGCGCTGCTCAAGGTCTCTCTCTCTCAGCACCCTCGCCGGCCGGCGTCTGACGCGGGTGCCAGGGTCTCCGGGCACCTTTCAGTGTCCATTCCCTCAGCCAGCCAGGACTCCGCAACCCAGCAGTTGCCGCTGCGGCCACAGCCCGAGGGGACCTGCGGACAGGACGCCGGCAGGAGGAGGGGTGCGCAGCGCCCGCGCAGAGCGTCTCCCTCGCTACGCAGCGAGACCCGGGCCTCCCGGCCCCAGGAGCCCCCAGCTGCCTCGCCAGGTGTGTGGGACTGAAGTTCTTGGAGAAGGGAGTCCAACTCTTCAAGGTAACTGTCTCCTTCCCTCCAGAGCGAGGCTCTCCCAGGGCGCCCGGCGAGCCAGGAACGGGACTGAGACTGCACGCCCCGGGGCTGGGGGCTGCACTGCCTTGGTCTCCGCCCTAGAGCTATGTGTGCCGGGGGCGCAGCACATCCACCGGCTGCGTCCGCGGTGGAGTTGAGCAAACTTTTTGGCTGTTGCAGACTCAGTGAATGGGGCAAAGGAACACGTGAGGAGGGGCACTTGTCTCCTAGTCCGCCAGGATGAAGGAACAAGGGAGCCTTTTCTCCAAACACCTAGGTGATTTTAAATCCTAGGGTCTGGAAAGACCCATGGTTGACAGAGTAGCAGCTTCAGAGTCAAGGGAATGTGGGTTCAAATCCCCGAGGTGCTACTTTTGAGCTGGAAGGTGTGCTTCACCTTCCTGAGCCTTGGCCTGCCGTCTGTCAGCTGAGAGGGAAAAGGCCTTCGCGGGGTCTGGAAGAATAAATGAAATCATATGGACACTATGTCAGGGACACAGCGGGTCCTAAGCCGAGGCTAGATAGTCCATCCTTGGCCACTTGGCTTACTCCAGGGACCAGAGTGCCTGAAGAGTCTGCCCAGGGGAGAGTGGCAGAACCTGGGACAGAGCTACTGAACTGCCAGCAGGGGAGAGGAGAGCAGTGCCCTGAACACACGGGTGTCCAACCAAGAAGGGGCATTTCTCAAGGAAGAAAGGGGAGGGGAGTTGAGGACACACGACCACGAGCGGTTTTTCCGTCTGTGGGTTCCTCTTCAAACGAAGCCAATGCTGGTGGAGCAGGAGCCCTTTCCAACCCTGGGGCTGGGTTGGAGGCTGTCAGTATGTCAACTGAACCACACTCTGGGCAGAGCAAGCTGCGGGGGTGGGGGCTTGTCTCTGGTTGTGAGACAGGATCCAACCCAAACTTTTCCATCATTATCCTCCTTTCAGTCATGAGCTGGGTTCTGACAGGATCCTACTAGGGTTTCACCATGAAGAAGCTGGAGTTCCAGCATGTTGACTGATGTGTAAATTCTGGTTCTGTGGGGCTGGCTGCCAGGAGGAAAATACAAAGCTGAATTGGGTTAGCACGGTGTTTTGGGGTCCTGGGTGCTGCAGTGGGTGGGTGTCTGACAGTTTAGAGGGGACTCTGGACCTTGAAAATTCACCCACCTCGTCTGAAGAGGAGGGCAAGTGGACCCAGAAAGGTGCAATGAATTTCTGAAGGTTGAACTGTGACTTAGGGTCAAGGGCAGAACTAGAATCCAGGTTTTCTGAGGCCATAGTCGGTCCCTCGTCCTGATTTAAGAGTCCAGAATTCTTGGGTTCTAATCCTTATCTCTCTTTCTTGTCCTGGGTTGCCATGGACAAGGAGCAATCAGGTTGCTCATGCACCCTGGGCAAGGTGGGTTTGGAGGCACTATGAAGATACGGTTTAGGAGTGTTGGCTTGTCAATCACAGGCTCCAGGGAGAAACTGCAGGAAATGGAAAGGCAATGGGGAAGAAAACCCTGAAGCTCGTTGGGGGAGGAAGCATTGAGCGGCAGTGGGGAGGAGAGGTTCTAACCTGAAAGAAAGATTGCAGAATAGTAGATCTCCCCAGTATAAAAAGTTTCAGAAGAAGGAATTGTCCAAAGGAAGAAGATATCTCTTGGAGAGATGCTGGAATTCCACAGGTTACCTTGAGCTGTGTTTAATTTAGATATTCTTACGTGTAGTTTCTAGTGCTGTGCCTGGTATTTTCATTCATTCTCCAATATCTGCTGAGCGCCACCTAGGTGCCAGGCTCTGTGCTCAATGCTGGCCCACAGCGGGTACTCAATAAACAGCAGATATGAGATGACCCAAGCAAAGGGCTTAGCGTAGTGCCTGGCACTGGGCAAGTACTCAGTAACTGTTTCATATTATTAATATTACTATTATCATTCTTAATTCTAGTAGTAAATGAATGTTTTTCTTTTTCTAGAATATTCACTGACAATCATACTTAAAAGGGAATATTTTGTTTAATGTTCGGAAGCCCTCCACACACCCAGGCACACCTCTTGCCCCTGTTCCCCATCTCTCTCACACCCACACGCCCAATCCCAGGCAGCCACTCACCCCTGCATGCCAAGGCAGAGCGTTCTCCTCCTCTTATGCCCCCTCCCCAATTAGAGAGGGAGCTCCAAGAGAGAGCTCACCTCCTGAGACAGTCGGCAAGAGCCAGGAGGGTGGACAGCCTGCATGCAAGGAAGACTGGGATTCAAATTCCAGCTCAGCCACTCGCTGGCTACATGGCTTTGATAAGGGTACTGAGCCTCCCAGAGGCTTCATTTCCTCTTCTCTAAAAAGGGGAGAAAATCCTCCGATAAGAGATTTTTGTGAAGATTAAAAGACATAAAGTGGGTGCCTTGTCCAGCTCTCAGCAAGCACCACAAACTTTAATTCCTCTCCTCTAACAGCTCCTAAGCCCCCTTGTGGGTCACAAACCCCAAGTTATGGATAGCAAAAATTTCAAATGTTTTCTCTTGATAAGAGACTGTGTGTCCTAACTTTTGGTGTGAATTTTTTTTTTTTTTTTAAGATGGGAGTCTTGCTCTGTTATCCAGGCTAGAGTGCAGTGGCCCAATGTTGGCTCACTGCAACCTCCGCCTCCCAGGTTCAAGTGATTCTTGTGCCTCAGCCTCCCAAGTAGCTGGGGTTACTTGTGTACCACCACGCCCGGCTAATTTTTGTATTTGTAGTACAGACGAGATTTCACCATGTTGGCCAGGCTGGTCTCGAACTTCTGACCTCAGGTGATCGCCTGCCTCAGCCTCCCAAAATGCTAGGATTCAGGCGTGAGCCACCATGCCCAGCCAGTGAATTTCTTTTTAATGATTCCTTCTAGAACTGGGTTCCTCCCAAGACCCTTCTTATTGGGCCCTTAGGAGGACCTCAGCTGAGCCAAAGGAAGCCCATGAGACCCTGCCTAGAGTCCCACTTTGAGTCTGTCTCTGCTGCTGCAGGGATGTCTAGCACCAGATTTGTCCAACTGCAGGTTGTGAGATCAATTTAGCGGGGTTCTTAATAAAATAGGAAATACCAGATAATCTCATAGTGCCTCCTATGTAGCAAAGGTAAGTACTGTTTCTGGAAACTTTTGTTTCTGTTATTTATTTTGAAGCCCTCTATAAGGGTATGTATGTTTATAATATAAATGTATATATGCAAATATATACAAATTTGATATTTGCATATATTTTTATTTAATTTTTTTTTTACTATATTGGTCCCAATGATGTTTCTGTCTCAGAAATTTCAGCATTGTGGCCCTAGGTGGCAGGTGCTGGGGCATCCTTGCTGCCACTGCACCAAGTGCTGGGGAGTCAAGGCAGCTGAGGTGGAAGCTGGAGTTGGGGAAAGGCAAGTTCAAGGAAGAGGACCCAGAGTCAGAGAGGAAGCAGGGCATGGAGGAAGGTCTGCTTATAAGTAGAGCAGGGGAGGGGACAGGCCAGCAGCTGCCCTGGGAAAGGGGATCAGGAGCACATCTTGGGAACAGGAGCCTTCCTCTCCTGCTGTCAACGGCCTGGCCTCGTGGCCATGCTTCGTGTCCTGATGGTAGCCGCACTGCCGCCCTGATAACTTAAAGGAAGCCCCTTCAATGGGATGAAGGGCCCGTTTCTGTGACAGCTACTTTGGGAGTGGCAGCTCCCCTTCCCCCAGATCCAACAGGACACAGCCATCCCTGCGAGGGAGTCTGGGCCCCTGGACGCAGTTGAAGAAGGGCCACTGGGAGGCCGGCAGAACAAGGGGAGGGCTGGAGAAGGAGCGGGAGTGCAGGCGAGAGGAGGACCAGAGAGGGGGAATTTGTAGAGAAAACGGTAAAACGGTTTCTTTTTTCAAAAGTTGAATCCAGGGCAAGAACGGAAACGGTGGAGTTTACTTTTAAAAACTCAGAGCCTCCTTATAAGTGGTGGAGTGTGTGTGTGTGTGTGTGTGTGTGTGTGTGTGTGTGTGCATGCTGGCAGGGCGGGCCCTGCGGGCTGGCCAGGCCTGTGAGAGGTGACTTCTCTCCCTCTCAATGGCCTTACAGTGTATCCTAAAGAAGCTTTTTGTTAAACTCATGAATAGGTGGATTTGGGGTGTGTGATGCTGGGCATCACGATTTGGATATTTGGTTACCTTTGAGGTTACATGTTTTTCCTCTTAAGATACACACTCAAAAAAGGAGCCACCTCTTCTGTGTAGGTCACTATTTTGGTGTATGTGGGGGCGGGGGTGCCTGTCTTTCTGTAATTGATTTGACTGGAGGGGTGAGGGTAAGAAGGAGAAACACAGGACATGGCAGATCTGCAATGCCTGACCTGGGAGACAGCCTCCCTCAGCTCCCTGGTCTCTGGCAGTCCCCAGATCACAGATGCCCAGGGCCTTCCAGGCCTGTGATGGTCCTCATTTAAGAGATCGCAAAAGGGACCTAGGCCCAAAGAGGGGAAGGATATGCCCCAGGCTGCTGCCCCAGAGCAGGTTGGTAAGAATCTGGACTGGGATCTAGACCTTCAGGTTCTCATCACAGAATATGTCGTGTTCCCAGAGATCATTCATTCATTCTTTCAGCAGCACTTGCTACATGCCAGGCACTGTGCTAGGCATGGATAACATAGCAGTGAATAAATCAACTCACTCTTCCTGCCCTCCACCTACTTACAGTCTAATGGGGAAGACGGACTGTAACCAACCTGAACCTGACCCCTCATTTCTATACAGCAGTGGCTGTCACCTGGGGCTATTTTGCCCTCCTTCCCCGGGGAACATTTGGCCATGTCTGGAGACATTTTTTGTTGTCACCACTGGAGACTGAGGTGCTTGCTGCTAGCGTCTCATGGATAGAGCCAGGGGTACTGTGAAACATCTTACAGTGTACAGCACAGCCCCCGCCCACATACATGCACAATAGAGAATTATCTGGCCCAAAATGTCAATAGTCCCAAGGCTGAGACACCCTGCTGCAGACCTTCATTTAGTTCATGGGCCAGGCCATGCCCAACTGGGCATGGCAACTGGAAAAGAGGGGATAGGACAAGAAGGAAAGTTAGGTAGGCAGTGCAGAGGGGACAATAAATGAAAAGGAAAAGAAAAGTCCGAGCCCCCATGGTAAATTAGAAAAAATGTGGGCTTTGGTGGCCCAGACTGAGGTTGAAATCCTAGCTGTATCCCCTTGGGTAAGTCAGTTATCCTCTCTGAGCCTCACTGCGTTTCTGTTTCCGTGAGATGGACTCATGGTACAGTTGTGAAGGTTTGAAAGCAAATAAAGGACCTGGCACAAATTAGACATACAATAAAATGGCAACTGTTATTAGTATATTTGAGGCTTTTAAAGTCCCCACTATGGAAAATTACAGCATCCACACGTGTGATCAGGAAGCCAAAGAAGGCTGCTCTTTGGGGCAGGGTTGCCATAGTATTCCCTCTGCTTGGGGGAGGGGCAGTGGGTGGTGTGAGCATCTCCCTCCAGTGTGTGTGGTGGGAGGAGCACTGCACTTGGAGTCACATGGACTGGGCACTGATGGCCATATGACCTAGGGGAAACTGCTTCACCTCTCAGCCTCAGGTTCTTTATTTATAACACGGAGATGCTAAGCCTGCCCTCATGGGCCAAGATCCAGTGAGGACCTCCGAAGGAGGCCTGTGGGGGTGCCTTGAAGCCGATGCAGGCACCTTTGGTGTCTGGTGTGCCCTGTCCCTAACCCAGGGCCAGGCACATACAACAGACTAGTTGAATGAACCATAGTACTATAAATTCCTTTCAGTTCTTGACAAAGAGAGCACCAAGAATACCCAGTTGGGCAATCCTTCACTTTGTCACTCCTCCATCCTTTGCAAGATGCAGGGACCTCTGGTTCCCAGAACGTGCTGCATCAGGTTGCAGCACCGGGCAGCTGCATCCTCCAGAGAGCACTGCAGATACAGCAGCTGCACCGTGACAGCCCCACAGGGGCATCCCCATGGGGAGTGGGAGGTAGAGGGGTGGGGGTTCTCCAGAGCTGAGGTGAGCCCAGCTACTGAAAAGAGGACCAAATGAGGATCAGGACCCTGGAGATTTATCTCAATGCAGGCATGTCATTGAATACCTCCACTTTCCTATCTGTAAAATGGAGTTGAAGTCATGATAAAGTAAGGCCTAACTAAAAGCCACTAGCCAAAGGGGTGGATTTGGGTAAACTGTCAAGCTTTCCTGAACTTCTATTTTACAGAGTCATGAAACACTGGAGCAGAAAGGGATTCATGGGTCACCACAGCGTCTTCTTCATTATGCAGAGGGGGAGGCTGAGTCCCAGAGAGCGGAGGACACTTGGATGGGGGTTCACAGGCTGCTCTTGCACCCAGGCTTCTGAGGCTCCTCCCTTCACACCACGCAGGTCCCATTCCAGCCAGTAAAGGGAAGCGTCAGATCACAGCAATGCTGTGACATCCAATCAGAACCCAACTCTAAACAGATTTGGTCCTTGGGTTACCCATTGTCCACCCTTGGGACACCTTCTGGCTCTGTCCCTCCATGTCCTCGCTGTTTCCAGGGCTAATTTTGGGGGGAAAAAAAAACCTCTAGAAGAGAAACGTGTAAGGCAAGTCAGAGTTCAGCCTCCCATCTCCCTCAGAAAACCTGGCCTTCTCGCCTCAGCCGCCGCCTCGGGTCCTGTGTAGGGGATTTTTCCCAGCAAAGTCTGGACCCTTGGCCTGACCCTCCCCTCACTCCATCCCTCCCCAAGCAGATGCTCCCTGTCTCCCCTCCAGCCCATCTCCCTTTGACCTGCATATCCAGATGGCTCAGGGGAAGCCTGGATTCTAGGATGACTCAGGCAGGAATGTAGTAAATGTTTTTCAACGTCACAAGACACTGAAAAGGAGGCCTGGAGGTGTCATTAGAGTTAGCCTTCAGTCCCTAAAATTAGCTGCATCTAAGGAGCTTTTCAAAAATACGGGTGGCTGAAGCCCTAATGTGCTCCAAGAGATTCTGCTTCAGTGAGATGGGGGCTTGGAGGCGGGGAATCTGTGGTTTTCAAAATTGCCCCAGGTGATTCCATTGTGGTCTAGTTTGTCAACTCCTAGTTTAAAGCCCAAAACAGTTCCTCAGAGTGTATTTGGTTCTAAGATCTTCTCTCTAGCCCTGCCTCTTGGGCCACTTGCTCTCTTCCTTCCCCAAGGGCAGGACTACAGCCACTGCCCCCAGTTTGTCCTTTAGGGGAGTGAGAAGGTCATGGCCAGCTTCTCCTGTCTTCACTTCCCTGCCTGAGACAGGGGCCCTTCCTCCCTTGGTTCTCCAAGGTGGTTTGTATAGAACACGCCTTCCAAGGCCAGCAACAGGCTTTGTAGGTGAAAAGGATCTCATCCCTCAGAGAAAGTCAAGGATGAACAAAATTAACCCTAGTTAATTTTGGGTCTCTTCCCTGCAGGGCTTCTCAAAATGCTGATGGACCTTGGAAATCACCAAGTTTTTCAAACTGAATTTGACCGTGAAGCTTTTTTTTCCTAAAGCAGATGGAGGGACTTGAGCCTAAAAAGATGCTAATCTAGGCACGGGCCCAGGTTGAGCCTGCAGCAGGAATACAGCAGCTGCACCCAGGCCAAGGGGCAAGGGGAGACCCCACCAGGTAGGGCTTAAAATCCTAAATCTCAAATGAACTCACTGACCCAGCAAGCGCTCTCCAAGCCCCACATCTCACATCTGTAACCTTCCCTCTAAAGGCTGGCCATGCTGGGTACTCATTTTCTTCCTTTTTCTGTGGATTAGAAGACAACAATGAGGTAGAACATTCAGTGGAGTTCACTGTGGGGTGGGGTGGGGCTCTGACCCCAGGGGATTCCTGCCTCTCCACTTGTTCCCTATCCATACCTGGCCACCTGCCTCCCCTATGTGAGCTGAGGGCCTAACCCTCTGTTGTTCCCTGGCCTGTTGGGTGACTCCAGTGGGTGCCAGTCCCCTGGAAGACTTGGACTAGCACCAATGGGGGTGAACAGCAGCCCCCTGGAGCTGAGTAAAGAGGTGCCCTGCTTGCATGCTTGTCTCTGTCGCCTGACTTCACTGCCCCATCCATGGGCATCACCCCCACCCCAGACTCACGTGACCCAGCCAGGTGCTTTGTTCTCCCCCATCCCCCTAAAGCAGCCTTGTTCTGAGATTCCCACTTGTTTCCTAAACGCAACCCAAGTGGGTCTCTGTTGTGACTTGTCAATATTTTGACAGAGGGTCTCCTGGTGTGGGAGACCTGATTGCTTAGATTGCCTCCACACCCACTCCTGAGCGGGAGGAGGGTTAGGAGTGGGGATGGCTTCATTAGCGAAGGAGGAGCCTAGCCCTCGGGTTAGCGCCTCGGCCTCCTGCAGCCCCATCTAGGCCCTCCCCATCTGCCCTCTTCTCTGGATCTGCCTTCTCAGTGACCCAGGGACTCCCGGGTTTGCACACAGCAGGGTCAGCAAGACTTATGTACACCAGATAAGGCTGATGCTTCAGCGGTTGGAAAACAGGACTCCCACCCCCTCCTAAGTCACTGCAAGTACTGCACAGAATGACTCGCCCTTGGATGCACACAGCAATTGATCAAGGTTATTTGCATATTTCCTCTCAGCCCCCTGGGGATTGCAGAGGCATTTAGAAGACCTTAGAGATGGTCCTGTCTCACTTAAAATCAAGCCCAATCCCTAGCCTTGGCCTACAGGCCCCCAAGCTGGCTGGTATCCCCTCCTCCTCACATCATTCTCCCCTCCTCCACCTCCCTGCAGCCCCTGGCCTCTCACTTCCTTCAGGACTTTTGCCCTCTCGGTCCCCCTGCCCAGGTGCTCTTCCCACAGGGCTTTGCATGGCTGGTTCATTCTGGTCATGCAAGTTCAAATGTCACCTCCTCTTGGGAAGCTTTTCTTTTTGTGCCCATCTGATTTAAAGAAAACAAACACCCCCACTCCCATCCCCTGCATTTTTCTTTAACTTATCATTATCTAGAAATTCTGGCTGGTCAGTTTCCTTGGTGATTCTCTGCCCTCCTGAGCTCCACAAAGAGCACTCCTTCTCACTGCACCAAGGGGAGTGAGGAGGTCATGGCCAGTTTCTCCTGTCTCCACTTCCCTTCCTGAGACAGGGACCTTTTCTCCCTTGGTTCTCCAAGATGGTTTCTATAGAACATGCCTTCCAAGGCCAGCAACAGGCTTTGTAGGTGAAAAGGATCTCATCCCTCAGAGAAAGTCAAGGTTGAACAAAATTAACCCTAGTTAATTTTGGGTCCCTTCTTAATATGCTGATGGACCTTGGAAATCTCCATGCAGCAAAAGCTGCATGGGACATGAGCCCCATCTGTCTTGGTCACTCTGTGTCTCCAGCACCTAGGAAATGCTTGGCACACAGTAGGTGGTCAAGAAAAGTTTGTTGGCTGGACAAATAACTTCAGAGCTTTTCAAACCATGCTTCAGAGTCCGCGGGGGTCAGTCCATGATACCCCATGGGGGCTAGAGAGGTGGGTCAAGAAGTGTACAGCCACATTCTATTAGAACATCTCCAGTTTTCTGTCTTTTGAAAGCCACTGATATGTTGCACTCTGCTCTTGTCATATATAGGAAATCTGGGACTCAGAAAAGAATATGTCTTTACTGTGGCCATGGCTCAGGGACTCTGCACAGTCAGAATGGCCACCACCTGGGCCAGCTCATGTTCTGCCACCAGTGACCCAACTGAGGAGAGGGATGGCCACTTCCATATGCCAACCCCAAATCTCCCCAGCTTCTCTCAGTAGTTCGTGATGACTCAAACATCGTCAGGGAGGAGCTGCTTTTAGGAATAAATGTATAGTTTTAGGTGCTACCACCTTTGGGGCCTTATCACTACTGGGCTACCCAGCATGTGCCAGGGCCATCTTTCACCTCATTTCCTTTACATCTTTTGAGCCGCAGGGTCCTAGCACCTCTGTGCCACAGTAGGAAGCAGGTCAGGCAGTGGGGCTAGGATGGAGAATAAGATGTAGTCTCCCTGGCTACTCAGCCTTCGTGACTTTGTAGATCTCAGTGAGCACCTCTTCTCAGCCACTAGGGTCCACACTGAATATCTGTCACCTCACCTCCAGAATAATCTGCTTCTGTCCTCTCCAGCTCCATGCCCTGGGGACCTCCCCTGACCCTCCAGCTCCCTCTGGTCTCTCCTCAGTTGTGATGGTGACTCTGGCACATTGGTACCTACATATTTATTCCTAGTTCCCCTCCTGATGACATCTAGTGCTTAGACTCACAAAAGAATCCATTCAGCCATTGTCTTCCAGGAGTGGATGGGATAGAAGGGCTCCAGGCTCACCAAAGTGACTTCGTCAGCAGCCATCCCTCATCAGCAGTGTGACCTTGACAGAGTTGATTAGTCTTGCTGTGCCTCGTTTTCCTCATCTGTGAATTGGGTATAATGACTCCTTCCCGATAGATTTGTTGGGAGGGTAAAATGAGATAATATAGCTAAACCACAGTACCTCCCACAGAGCAAGGGCTCTCAAAACAGTAACTGCTGTAAATCATGAACATTCCCAGACCCGTTCCTGGTATCTCTGAACCTGAATTTTTGGATGATCATGACTGCCTCCTCTTGCCCAAACTGAAGTTTCTCAGCTGCTTTTCTGCCTACTTATGCTCTTAAGATAGTCTTACCATCCTGGAGCAGAAAGGGGCCTCAGGAATGCAAGAAGAGCCACATGCTGTCTGCCACCCTGCAGCTAGCTGAGGGACAGGACAGATGACGAAAGCCAGGGCTGGCTCCTGATAGGCCTGGAAAGTGTGGCAGGTTCTGCTGTACACAGGGCTCCCACAATGCATCACTCCAGAGGGCGCCATTCCATTGTGGTCCATGGGAATAGCGACTCCTCGAGTTGTGCCAGTGTGCAGCCTTTGCAATTGATTGTACCCGACTCCTTCAACCCTTCTCTGGGACTGCGCTGCAGATGTTGTACTACAAAGGCTGGATCAACAAGAACTCCTCTTCAGGTGTCATAGCTGCTAGCCAGCATGTCCATGCTATCAGGAAGCTTGTGAGGCAGGAGGTGCTGGTGCAGGGCTGGGGGCTGCCTCTGGCCCTACCGAACTCTGCCTCCATCCCCTGTCCTCCTCTCCTGGGACTAGGGAGTGGGGAATCCTAAATGTACCAGAAGAACCTTTGGTGGTTCTCAGCCAGTTAAGGTGGCTGAACAGACTCAGTTCTACCTCCAGCTGAAACTTTGGTTTTTCTTGTCCTGTGTGGACCCCAGAAAAAAAAAAAAAAAGATGCTCTGAGTCCAGACAGGACAGAAATCCGGAAAAAACATTCACTTCTTGTTTTTTCCTTAATAAAAGGGAGGATCTGGAATATGGTTCTCCCCTCTCTTGGTTCCACTAGAAATAGAGAGCCCACGTTGTGTATCAGTGGGAATGGAAGGGGAGGTCCTGTGGTAGCTTGAGGGTCAGGAAGCCAGGCCAAGAAAGCCACAAAGATTGGATTCCAAGTAGAAGGGGAAGACCAGGCGCAGTGGCTCATGCCTGTAATCCCAGCACTTTGAGAGGCCGAGGTGGGAGGATCACTTGAGGTCAGGAGTTTGAGACCAGCTTGGGCAACATGGAGAAACCTCGTCTCTACTAAAAATATAAAAATTAACTGGGTGAGGCAGCAGGCACCTGTAATCCCAGCTACTTGGGAGACTAAGGTACAAGAATTGCTTGAACCCAGGAGGAGGAGGTTACAGTGAACTGAGATCATGC
The DNA here is from genome assembly GCF_000001405.40 of Homo sapiens. Lineage (NCBI taxonomy): Eukaryota > Metazoa > Chordata > Mammalia > Primates > Hominidae > Homo > Homo sapiens. Next base: position 88,815,518 of record NC_000015.10, read on the forward strand.
CACTGCACTCCAGCCTGGGTGACAGAGCGAGACTCCAACTCAAGAAAAAAAAAAAAAGTAGAAGTGCAGAAGAGAAAGGTCTTAAAAAAAAAAAAACCATCAAGAACAATTTCAAGACATGAAATGTTCTGCACTGATTAAAAAAAAAAAAAAAAAAAAAAAAGAAGGAGCCATTGAGATCAGACATAGGAAATAGTTTTCCTGAGAAATCTAAGCGACCCTGAGGTTGACTACCAAGTAAGATTGGGGACTGTTGTTTATAAAGAAGTTTTTAGATTAGTAGTAGTGTTATAATAAAAAGTTACCTTGTATTCATTTCCTAGGCCTGCCATAACAAAGTGCCACAAACTGAGTAGCTTAAAACAATAGACATTTATAGTCTCACAGTCTTGGAGGCCAGAAGTCTGAAATCAAGCCATTGGCAGGGCCATGCTCCCTCTGAAACCTATGGGAAATCCTTCCTTGCCCCTTCCTGGCTTCTGGTGGCAGCTGTCAATCTTTGGTGTTCCTTGGCTTGCAGCTGCGTCACTCCCATCTCTGCCTCGGCTGTCACTTGGTGATCTCCCTGTGTGTCTGTATTTCCACAAGGACATCTTCCCCTCCAATAAGGACACCAGCTATATTGGACTAAGGGGCCATCCTAACAACCTCATCTTAACTTGATTACATCTGCAAAGACCTTGTTTCCAAATAACGTCACATTCACAGGCAATGGGGGTTCAGGCTTAGACATAAGGTATCTTTTTTTGGTGGGAGGGACTCAGTTCAACATATAACACCCTTTATTGACTTGCTGTCAATGTATTTAGACCTGTGCTTCATCAAAGGGATTTAAGGGAAGTCATTCTCTTGGGGGAGATGGATTAAACAAATGATGTATTCTCCCATCGGTCAGTGCTTTTATGCTAACTAGAGACTGGGCAGGTTGAGTAGAAAGTGTTTGAATGCCATTGTATGATCTGAGCTGAAATCTGGTGTGCACATACTTCACACTGAAGCAGCAGAAAGCTCTGTGAAATAGGTCTAATTATTCCCATTTTATAGATAACAACACTGAGACATAGCTGGTAAGTGGTAGGACCAGGACTTGAACTCATGACTCTGATTCCAAAGTTCATGGTTGCCTGGCTGTTCCATGCACTATGCTTAGAGAAAAGGCAAATTTCTCAGTCTTTACTCACATACCCTGATATCTACCATAAGAAAAAGAAGCAAAGAGGCCTGTTACCCAGAATGGGCCCCATGGATCAAGGTATGTGTGTAAGCTCCTGTTTATTTCAACGCACCATGCCCAAGAACTTCATATGGATTCCTTCAGCTCAGAGTCAGAGCCACCTTCAGGAGACAGAGGCTGTGAGCGAGAAAAACTTTGAGCCCCAAATCTGTTGAACACAGTAACAGAAGAAAATTCTGTTTCCCACCATCTGATTCTCAAGAGTTTTAACACACCAGGAGCCTACTCCCTTCCCCACTGAGACTTTCCTTCCCCTTCTATCCCCAGTCGGCTGCCACCTTGGTCACTGGGGAGCCCTTTGGCTTTACATAAAACTCCTGCTCTCCTAATGACCTTCCAAGGCTGGAATCTATTTTCTCCTGTGATTGTCTTGAATGTAGTTTTGTTTTTGTTTTTGTTTTTGTCTTTGAGACAGAGCCTTGATTTGTCACCCAGGCTGGAGTGCAGTGGTGCGATCTTGGCTCGCTGCAACCTCTGCCTCCCGGGTTCAAGCAATTCTTCTGCCTCGGCCTCCAGAGTAGCTGTGACTACAGGTGTGTGCCACCACGCCCGACTAATTTTTTTGTATTTTTAGTAGAGGTAGGGTTTCACTGTGTTAGCCAGAATGGTCTTGCTCTCCTGACCTCATGAGCTACCCACCTTGGCCTCCCAAAGTGCTGGGATTATAGGCATGAGCCACTGTGCCTGGCCAAATGTAGATTTTTTTTTAAAGGATATAAAATTCACTTTATTTTTAGAGACAGATTTCCTTTAAAAATAATAAAGGACATCATAGAAAATTTAGGAAATATAAAGGTTCAAGATAGAAAAAAAAAAAATTGGCCAGGCACGGTGGCTTATGCCTGTAATCCCAGGACTCTGGGAAGCCAAAGCAGGCAGATCACTTGAGCTCAGGAGTTCAAGACCAGCCTGAGAAACATGGTGAAACCCTGTCTCTACAAAAAATACAAAAATTAGCCAGGCATAGTGGTGCATGCCTATAGTCCCAGCTCTTCAGGAGGCTGAGGTGGGAGGATTGCTTGAGCCTGGGAGGCGGAGGTTGCAGTGAGCCCAGATCATGCCACTGCACTCCAGACTGCGCAACAGAGTGAGACTCTGAAAAAAAAAAAAAAAAAAAAGAAAGAAAGGGAAAAGGAAAAAAAAGAAAAAATAAAAATATACTATAGACTTACCACCCAAAGATAACCAGAGTTAAATTTCTGTCTGTCTTTCCTGTCTTTTTCCCATTGAATAGATATACAGAAAAATAGAATGGAATTGTATTCTATGTGTTATTTTGCAGTTTACTTTTTGTGCTTAATGATATAGCATGAACATGTTTCCAAGTAAGTAAACAGTTTTCCTTACTTGACTATTCTATGTGCCAGGCTCTCTACCAGAGACAGGAAGGGATAGAAAAGATGGGATAGAAGTTTTCTCTGCTCTCAGGGAGCCCACAGTCTAGGTAGGAGAGAGCCATGTCTGCAATGAAAAGTACTTGTCAGTAGAATGCAAAGAGCCCTAGTTCTTTGCCCCAGCACTGCATCTGATAACACAACTGTGAGTGCATTCTTCCATAAGGGAAAATCTGCACAGTTGCTCCCACCAAGTCTGAATGGATTTGAGGTTCAGCTGCAATGCAGTGGTGTGCCATTGGGAGAAAGAATACTTTAGTGAGAAATTCCGCAGGTTCTCCTCCTGGTAGGTGTGTGTCCTCAGTGAGCCAGAGACAAGAGACCCAAATTTGCCATTCCCAGAGTTGGCCCCAGTTCCCTTGTTTCTCTTATGGTGTGAGCACCTTGAGGCACCAAGCATGTGTCTGGTGTTTGATGATATTTATTTCTCATACGATATGGCCCTCATAGCAAGCCAATTAATTTATTGGCCACTCAAATACTCAATAGTCTGACTCAGCAATGGAAGGCAGATGGTTGTGTTGGACTCATTGGAAGATAACATGGGGGTCTCCAATATGGTGCCTTCCTCCAAGATTTTCAAGGGGAATTTTGATCGTACCTGGTTTCTGACTTGTGTGGAGCTTTAGGGGCCAACCCCATGAAGAGATTCAGTTTGGCATGGTGAAAAGCATTCTGGAGATGGATGGTGATAATGGTTGCATAACAATGTGAATACGCGATGCCACTGAACTGTACATTTTTAGAAGATTAAGATGATAAATTTTATGTTATGTATATTTTACCACAATTTAGGAGAAAACATAATCAATTTTTTAAAGTAAGGAAAGGTAGCTTCCTAGTGAGGATAATGTCTTTGGAGAAACCCTGACTGGAAGGAACTGAGAGGCAGCAGACAGCATGAGTCCCCAGAAGGCACTTTTGTGAGGGCAGCTGCTCTGGCATCCTGTTGGGAGGCTATTAAGCACTATAATCCGGACAGCCTTGCAGGGGACAGTCACACAGCCAGTACAGGCTGGCAGAGGACTGGGGACATGCCAGAGACAGCTGGAAAGGAAGGAAACAAAGTGTCGGGGGGCAACATCATGTCAAGGTTTTGCAGCTCTTCAGTGACTGCTCTGGGACAGGTAGGCTGTTAGAGGGAGGTCTTTGAGGGGCTTAGGGAGCAAGTCTCTCCTCTTCTGGGGTTGGAGGCCTTATTCTGCAGCCCTGAGGTACCTTGGTTCTTTGAGTCAAATCTGATGTTGAACTCGCTCCATGTGGAGAACCCGTCTGTAGCAGGCACTGAGCAAATGTCTGTTAATTGAATCCATGATTTAAATGAAATCTGGAGTTGGCTGGATTCAGGGACTCATGCCTGTAATCCCAACACTTTGGAAGGTTGAGGTGGGGGAATTGCTTGAAGTCAGAAGTCTGAGAGCAGCCTGGGCAACATAATGAGACTCTCGTCTCTACAAAAAAAAAAAAAAAAATAGCTTGGTGTGGTGGCTCACACCTGTAGTTCCAGCTACTCAGGAGGCTGAGACAGGAAGATCACTTGAACCCAGGAATTGAAGGCTGCAGTGAGCTATGATCTCACCACTGCACTCCAGCCTGGGTGACACAGCAAGACCCTATCTCTAAAAAACATTTTTTTAATTAAAAAAAATTAATCTGGGGGCACAGTTATCAAAGGCCCTTTGAGGACTAGAACAAACCTCCAAGGGGTACTATCTTCAGCCCCTAGCATCATTCCTGGCACACACATGGGAAGCAGGGAACTAGTTGAGAGCCCAGCTTTTGGAGTCAGACCAATCCGGGTTTGAATTCTGGCTCTACCACTCACTGGCTGAGGGAGATGAGATAAGTTATTTACCCCCTCTGAGCCTCTGTCCCCTTGGTTCTAAAATAGGACTAATCACAGTGTGCCCCTCCCAGGACTATTGTGAGCATTAAACGAGATGAGGCTTATGTTCAAAATGCTGCTGGGCACCATGCTGGCATGGACTCAAGCCTGGATATATGCAATTTTTAAAGGACGTAGTTGTGATAGGTGCTCACAGATGAGTTATAGACCCAAGGATGAATAAAACCCAGTGCATGCTCCTCCCAGTCAGTCTCCTTGCAGAGGCAGACAGGTGCTACAGGCAGCACGTGCTCCTGCTGTGATCGAGGACGGCAAACTGGATCATAATAGGAACATGATGGGGGACTTCATGGAGGAAGGGCCCACCACCAAAGATCGTGAGGACTGTAGTTTCTCCCTGATACATACCTGAGTCATTCCTTGAAACCCTGAGAGCCTATTCATCACCTACAGAATGAAGTCAATTTCTATAGCCCAATCTTGGAGGCCTCTTCAGAATCTGGCCCCACTTTGTTTCTAACTTTATTTAATGCTACACCACTTGGACCTGCTCCTTTCTCCCTGCCTTGTGTGTTCAGTCTCTTACTCTTAGAAGGCCCTTTCCCCACCTCTACATGTCATATTGTACCTGTCCATCAAGGCTAAACTCAAATCCTACCTCTTTTTTGAAGCTCTCCCAGGTCTCCCAAATCAGATGATGCAGATTCTGCATCCTCTCAACTCCCAGAGCCCGCTCTCTCTGCCCCTCATTGAGAAGGGCTCTCCTTGTATTGTAGGAATTTTTTTTGAGATAAGGTCTTTCTCCATTGCCCAGGCTGGGGTGAAGTGGTTGCATTAGTCCATTCTCACGCTGCTAATAAACACATACCCAAGACTGGGTAATTTATAAAGGAAAGAGGTTTAAATGACTCACAGTTTAGCACAGCTGGGAAGGCCTCAGGAAGCATACAATCATGGTGGAAGGGGAAGCAAACACATCCTTCTTCACATGATGGCAGGAAGGAGAAGTGCTGAGCAAAGGGGGAAAAGCCCCTTATAAAACTATCAGACTTCATGAGAACTCATCACTATCAAGAGAACAACATGAGGGTAATCACTCCCATGATTCGATTACCTCCCACTGGGTCCCTCCCATGATATATGGGAATTATGGGAACTACAACTGAAAATGAGATTTGGGTGGAGACACAGCCAAACTATATCAGTGGCACAACCAGGGTTCACTGCAGCCTTGACCTCCCAGGCTCATGCGATCCTCCTACCTCAGCCTCCCGAGTAGCTGGAACCACAGTTGCATACCACCATGGCTGGTTAGTGTTGTAGAGACAGGGGGAAGGGTTGGGGGATGAGGGGTGGTCTCCCTAAGTTGTCGGGGATGATCTCCCTATGTTGTCCAGGCTGGTCTCAAACTCCTGGGCTCAAGCAATCCTCTGGCTTTGGCCTCCCAATATTGTAGGATTTATTCCCCCATTGCATCCCTGCCTCACACAGTGAGCCCCTGGGGGTAGATTCACAGCTGGTCCATCTATAGTTCCCTGTCAGCACCTGCTACAGAGTCTTCCATATGGTGAGTGTTTGACAGAGGAAAGGAAAGAGGAGGAAAGGCAAGAAGTGCTTGGAACTTTTCTGGATGAAAGGCAATTATTCCTGCCATGTGAGGTCCAGAAAGAAGGCTGTCCCAAGGAGGGAAAGCAGTGTCACTGAAGGATGCCCATGGGATGAAGAGGTCTTGTTCACTGTCCACTCAGCCAACACTGAACCATCCTGGCCAGGATGTACTGACCTCATGGATCAGGGTGGGAGGTGTCCAAGTCCACCCTCTGGTTCAGTAATTTGCTAGAAGGGCTCACAGAACTCAGCAAAACTGTTACACTCACAGTTACGGTTTATTACAGCAAAAGGATACAGATGAAAATCAGCAAAGGGAAGAGGCACAAAGGGCAGGGGCCAGGAGAGACCAGGCATGAGCTTCCAGTTGTCCTCTTCTAGAGGAGTCATGCAGACAGCATTGCCTTCTCCCAGAAATAATATGTGCAACATCCACAGAGTCTTGCTAACCAGGGAAGCTCACCTGAGCCTTGGTATTCAGGGGTTATACTGCGGTGTGGTCATATAGACATGGCTGACCTTAGTCTCCAGTCCCTCCAGAGGTCAGGTTGATACCTCGTGCCCCAAGGTCCCCACCGTACATCACACCATTAGCCTAGGCCATCCAGCATGGCCCAAGCCTCCCACATAAACAGATTCTTATTAGACAGGACATTCCAAGGGCTTAGAGGTTGCCTCCTGGCAGCCAGGGTCAAGGGCCCAACCTTTCTTCGGGCAAAGTTAATCCTTTGCTGCACAGAAGGACTGCTCTGTGAATGCCCTGAAATCATACAGAAAATCCCAGGAGCGTGAACACTATTTCCTAAGAACTGTGTCCATAGCTTCCATCAGCTCTCAAAGAGAACCATGATCCAAGGAGCTAACTACATGTTTTTTTTTTTTTTGAGATGGAGTTTCGCTCTTGTTGCCCAGGCTGGAGTGCAATGGCGTGATCTTGGCTCACTGCAACCTCCGCCTCCCAGGTTCAAGCAATTCTCCTGCCTCAGCCACCATGCCTGGCTAATTTTTTGTATTTTTAGTAGAGACGGGGTTTCTCCATGTTGAGGCTAGTCTCGAACTCCTGACCTCAGGTGATCTGCCCGCCTCAGCCTCCCAAAGTGCTGGGATTACAGGCGTGAGCCACCACGCCTGGCCGCTAACTACATGTGTTCTATGAGGTGAGGTCCTTCCCAGACCCTGGAATCAGGGGTTGCAATTAGGGTCCAAATAATGAGGTTGGACTACAGATAACCCATCTCCTTTCTTACCTTTGACTAGATCCAAGGACTAAACTCCAAGAACCCGAGCATCTGTCCCCAAAACTGAAAGGATTGGACTAGTCACCCCTTGTTTCCCTACAGCCACATCCCAGGCACCTGGCCCTTGCTTTGTCCAGAAATTCAGCTATAACTCCACACATCTGATGGCCCTTTCTGGCAAGCAGGCATTTCCATCAGGACCCTCAGCTGCCAGACACATTTACTGGAGGTCACTTATTAAACCTGGGCTCAATTTCCACACAGGGAGGCTACTGAAGCATCACACTGGGTCTCCCAGCCCCTTCTCATAGAGGAAAGATCTCTCTGTCCTGCAGGGTTGGCAGTCAGCGCCAAGTAAAGGGAATTTAGCTCTTGGCCCAAGATCCCTGCCCAGGAAAGGTACTTGCGCCTGCTGGAAACTTTGGGCTGAAGTATACTCCTTTCCAAAAACTCAGGTCTGATATTTACACAAAGTCTGAAATTAATGCAGAGAAAACTTCCAAGTGCTTGGACTGGAGCAGAAGGCTGAGAACAGGAAGGGGCTGGTCCCTGGTACTAGTTTTGGTTTTTTGGTGGTTTTTTTTTTTCTTGTTTTTTCTCACAGAACAGGGCAAAGCTGAGTGTCCCTGGATGAGTGAAGCAGGAGGATTAATCATGCCCAGTGCTTCTCCACTTTAAACTGGTTTTCCTGGGAATTTGCAATTGAGAGTGGGGAGGGGTAAGAATCGTGGGAAAAGGCTGATGGTGTTCAGCCAAATTCATCCTTCACGTGCCCACCCTTCTACAGGCACATGCTTTGGGGCCATCCACGGCTGCAGCCACCCCATCCTTAGGAAGCACCACTGGCCTTCCTTTCCGGTACCTGGACTCAGCATCACTCCCAGCCTCTTGGAGATGCAGCCTTCATTCAGCACACAGCTCAGCTCTGAGTTCTGTTTTTGTCCCTAGATGTCTCTGGGGTCACCTACTACTCCCTGCTTGGTGGCCCAGGCCCATCCTTCTCCACTCTTGCACCTCTTTTAGCAGAAAAGGAGTGAGAATGGATATTTCCATGGGCCGTGTGTGCACTCCCGGCTACCCCTGACAGCTCTACTCAGAGCTACCCTCCCTCCTGGGGCTTCTTATGTGTTCTAAGGCTGAGGCAGGAAGACTGTGAGATCAGGTGACACTCAACAGTTATGATCGGTCTTAAGATTAACAGTCCTGGCCGGGCGCAGTGGCTCACGCCTGTAATCCCAACACTTTGGGAGGCCGAGGCAGGCAGACCACGAGATCAGGAGATCAAGACCATCCTGGCTAACACAGTGAAACCCCGTCTCTACTAAAAATACAAAAAATTAGCCAGGCGTGGTGGCGGGCACCTGTAGTCCCAGCTACTCAGGAGGCTGAGGCAGGAGAATGGCGTGAACCCAGGAGGCGGAGCTTGCAGTAAGCCAAGATTGCGCCACTGCACTCCCGGGTGACAGAGCGAGACTCCGTCTCAAAAAAAAAAACAACAACAACAACAAAAAGATTAACACTCCTTCTACTTCCAAACCTAATACAAAGGGACATTGCCTAGTGATTAAGAGAATTCATTCATTCAACAAATACTTGTTGAGCACCTACTATGTGCCAAGCACTGTTCTAGGCACCGGAAATACAGCAGTGAGAAAAACCAAAAAAACTCCCTGCCCTCATGGGGTGTATATTCAAGTAGCTGAAACAGACAGTGAACAAACAAAAAAGGACAATAATTTCAAATAATAATGATGCTATCGGCCAGGTGTGGTGGCTCATGCCTATAATCCCAGCATTTTGGGAAGCCAAGTCAAGCGGATTACCTGAGGTCAGGAGTTCAAGAACAGCCTGGCCAGCATGGTGAAACCCCATCTCTACTAAAAATACAAAAATTAGCCAGACATGGTGGCACACACCTGTAATCCCAGCTACTTGGGAGGCTGACGCAGGAGAATTGCTTGAGCCCGGGAGGTGGAGGTTGCAGTGAGCCAAGATCTGACAGGCCTTCAGCACCACTGCACTCTAGACTGGCTGACAGAGCGAGACTCTGTCAAAAAAAAAAAAGCTATAAATAGACTTTAACAGGGTAACATGATAGGGAGGGAGGGATAGGGGAGCAGGGTGGTCAAGGAAGGGACATTTAAACAGGCTAGAATGACAATGGCCAGCGAGGGAAAGATCCAGAAGTGTGTGCTGGAAGAAGAAAGAGCAAGCACAAAACCCTTAGGACAAAATCAGCTCGTGTGGTCAAGGCACAGCTAGAATGTGGCGGGGTTGAGGGTTTGGGGAATAGTGATCTGAGCAGGAGCAGGAGCGGATCACATGGGGCCTCACAGGCCCTGGGAAGGAGCTGGATTTTTCTCCAAGAACATTCATCCTTTTCTGCCATGAAGTCCATAGGCCAAGCTCCCTTTTGCTCCCACCCCCTCCAGCAGGATCAGACTACCCAGGGAACACGAGGACTTCTGGTGGGTGACTTGGAAGGAATAAGAGGAAGTTCCAAGTAAGTTGCCACAAGGAATCATCACTCTGTATCTCTTCTCCTAACTGGAAATAAGTAATTTCCAGAGGCCTCACCTATGAAAATTCTGGCCAAAGGTGCCAAGAAACTTCCCCAGATTCACCTAGATAGTACATTATGAGTCAAAGGTATGAATTCAGGTTGTGTTCTTAAGATACCCACCTTCTAGTGTACCATGTTATCTCCCAAGAGGCTTGAGAAGAGGCTATTCAGGAAACTGCATAGAGACTGGGTCCAAAGTGGACCTCAGAGAGAGGATGAAGAACAGCGTATCTCTTGTCCCAACAGGTCCAAGTCAAAGAGGTATTACTAGCAGGGACATAGATCAGTGAGTGAAGGGAATCACGACAGAGAGGCCAGAGAGGGGAGAGATTGATGTCATCTTTTCAAGTATTTCTGTACTACACGTCCTAAACCCCAGCCTGCTCCTTCCACTTCCTACTGTGCCCACCCCCACCTCCAGAAGCAGGCAGAACCTTCACCTAAAAGCTCACACAGGCCTTCGGCAAACCAAGGCCAGCTCTGTTTTTATTGTTTGACTAGCATCCGCCTGGCTCCTGGTCAGGACAGTGAGGTTGGCCTCGGACTGGCAGTGGCAGAAACAGCTCCGTGGGCTGATTTCTGAAGCTGAAGTTTCGAAGAGGCTTCAAAACACCCCTCTCCCTGTCCCTCTGTGATCAGCAACACAGGAAGCAGCAGGAGTTGGTCAGCTCTTCCAACTGCCAGAGGTACGCGGTCTCTCATGGTAGGATGGGACTTTAGAAAAGGTTAGAGACTCAGCTCACGTCGGGGGGCTCTACTGACTACCCACAGGTTGACTAGTAGGAATCCAGATATTTTTGAGCAGATGATGATCATGCTTTTGTAGGTGCTGGCTGAGACATAGCCCATTTAATCAGAAATGACTTGATTAGAGCTCTTGAAAAAGCTCATCCTGAAAACCCCTGGAGGAAGTTAACAGGACTGTCTGCAGCCCTGCCACGGAGCAGGGCATTTGTATAGTGGCCTTTTTTTTCTTTTTTTTTTTTTTTTTTTGGAGCCCCTGGGAAATTTGCCTGAAGGACACTGTGGAAGAGCCACCATGCTGGGCTGTAGGAGCCAGCTTTGCAGGGGACCCCTGGAGACACAGGGAAAGCCAGGACTCAGAGCCCCAGCAGGGCCCTGCCCTGTGGATGGAAGGTCCAGGAGTGGATCAGGAGTCCCACTTGGGAACCCCCTCCTCCAAAATGGACCCTGTGTTACTCATTGGCAAGATCCCACCAACCGTGCGCATATTCCAGGCACTCTGCCCATATTCCTGGGCAGAACTGGAAGAGATTTGGGTTTCCCTCTCTCGTGAACTAATTAGTGATGCATTTTCCCATCTACCAACCCCTAAAACTTTCCGGATCTGAAATTCCATGAGAACATTCCCCATATCCCCCTTGATTTATATTTGTTACCTAGTATGTTGTCTCCCCCTTGAAATGTGTTTGTTGACTGAATAATGGAATTAATGAGTAAAGCTAATGAGCGTAAAGGGACTGTAAATGCTGAGAAAACCATAGCATTGTAGCCACAGGACCTGGATTCCAAACCAAACTCAGCCACTCACTATCTGTGTGACTTTGGGCACGTTGTCTAACCTCTCTGAGCCATTGTCTTCCTTCCTATGAAGACTGTTCTAAGGATAAGAAACGGCACATGTACAGCTCAGAGAGGAGTTCCTGACATACAGCAGGCCCTTCCTAAAGATGGCCCCTAGATTGTTCCTGAAGCCATGGCATAAGTGGATTCTGGCTATAAAATGCCCACTGTTGCCTGAAGATAGAGAGGGGGTGACTGCCCTCCCTGACCACAGAGAAGCTCCAAGAGCTCTGTGGCAAGCCGTGGAGACGGCAGTGGCAGATTAGGCTCTTCCTTTACAGTCCACAGTTTTATTTGAACTCACATCCTAGTCCTGGGGTGAATAGAGGAATGATCCCTAGGCTAAAATAGTTGGTGGGGTGGGGGGCCCCATTGTTTGCTGTCACTGCAGAACAAATGACCATTCACTTACAGCATCATTTAAATTAGATACAGATGCAAATTGTATGTGGGTGGTGTTTCTTATCAGGCTAGCACCCATTAGTTGGGTGGCTACTTTGTGCAGAAACTGACCTCAGTGCCCCATTCACTTGGACCATCATTTAAATTCGATATAGATGCAAATTGCATGTGAGTGGCACTTTTTATCAGGCTAGCACCCATTAGTTGGGTGGCTACTTTGTGCAGAAACTGACCTCAGTGCCCATAGTAGGTGCTTGGTGTATCCATATTAGTTGAAATGCAGTGAGGGGCATACACAATGCAGGTGTTCTTGCTCCTCAGTGAGGGAGGAACCAGCCAGACAAACCTTGAGAAAGGAGGCCAACTCAGCATCTCTCATTTAAGTCCTACAGCGTCCTATGCTATTTGATAGATCCTATCTAATCAGCACTTTAGAGGTAAGGAAATTGAGCCTCGAGAGGTTAAATAATTGAGCCAAGGTCATATGCTCACAGGAAAGTGTCAGAGCTGCGATTCAGCCACATCTGTCTGACTCCCAATCATGCTCTTTCTGTTGCACCAGGGCCTGCTCCCACCCTGGCCATCGCACCCACCCATGCACACATCCCTTAAGTGGTTGGCCTAGTAGTTTGAAACAAAAGTGGGAAAGAAGCCACAAGCCAAGATGAGTCTGCTAATAAGTTGGTCATAACAACAAGAAATGACAAAGGACACAGGCAGACAGGAGAGCGTTTCAGGCTGGGGGAGGTTTCCAGGCGGTGGCATTTGCATGGGGCCTCAAGGAAGGTGGGAATAGGTCAGACATAGAGCTAAAGAGAGGGTGTTTTTTGAAGGAATGGAACTGTGTGAGCAAAAGAAGGGAGTGAAAGGACAGGGCCAGACCCTAGCCCCAGATTCAAATAGGGCACTGCCAGGGGATAAGACCCATGCCACATCGGCAGTCAGGTAACAAGTATAACCTGCAGGTATGACACTCTCCGTGGTGTCATTTCTCGGTTTCTTATTTTCTTTTCTCGCAGCTCCACTACCCGAGCCTTTTTTTTTGCTCCCCAGAGAGCCTCCCCTCACTTCTGTTAGATGTGTGCACCACCCTCCCAACCTCACAACTCTCCTTTCTGCCTTTTCGTCCCTAGCACAGTGAGGGCATGGGGGCATCTTTCTGAATAGGCTGGACCTTCCCAGAGAATGTGCTCAATAGGCAAGCGAAACCCTTGTGCATTGCCCTGGATGTTGCAGCAGAACAGCAAGCAATGAGCAGGTCCCTGGCCATGAGGGAGGCTGAGAGGGTGGAGATGCAGTTCCTTCTGTTCCCAGAAGTTAAAAAGGTGGAACTCTTCTCTGCACTGCGTGGAGCTGGCATTTGGAATCTCAGGGAACTCCAGAGTTAATTCTCCCACCTGCCCCCATTTCAGAGATGGAAAATCCGAGGCTCCGGGTCAGGCAGCCATTTTAGTCAGGGCCAAGGTTAGGACCCAGAGCCGACTCACTCATGTCTGCTATCTCTGGATACAGGTTTGTCTGCACTCACTAGGCTAGAAGCAACTCCAAGGAAAAACCTTTCTTTCCCTTCACTGGGCCCCTCTGTCTTAGCACAGAGCTGCTCAAGGCCAATCCTAGACAAAAGTATGGCCTTGAAGGGTTTATCTCCAGCACTCCCCACCCTGCTGCCAACTGTCTGTTTCACAGGACCTACACACTTGCCCGGAATGGAGAAAAACACATGGAATTTGATTTAAGATGCTTCAGTGATGACAGAGCAAGTAACAAATTTGGAAAAAGGAAATCAAAGATACGGAAAAAGACAAGGTGTTGAAGAAGGTGGGGAGAAGAGAAAGAGGAGGAAATATCAAAAGAGTATTGGCAGCTACAAAAATTACCTTCACAATTTCCCTGGGGGTGATGCTTGCATGATGATCCCAATTTACAGAAGGGAAAACTGTAAACTGAGGCCTTACATGAGTTTCCTGGTGAGTTAGGACAGAGCTGGGACTGAAATCAGCTTCCTGGCTTCCCGTTTCTATACCATCCCACCACGTCTGTTTAGAATATGTGGGAAGTTAACAGCTGCAGTTGGGGTGACTCTGGCCAGATATGCTCTTGGTGTAGGGTCCCTGGCCTTTTCCCTATGCTGGGTTTGAAATCCCAGCCTCGAGTGCATATGCTACTGCGTTTATGCACAGCTATCAGGATGATCTTGTTCATGAGCGAGTGACAAGAGAAAAGGTGCTATTGGGAGATTAGGCTGCAAATAAGTGATGTGCTGGTGACTGGTGACTACAGGAATGGGGCACCTTGGTCCTTTCGAATCCATCTTCTAGGACTTAAGTCAGGGACACAGAGCCACCTGGTCGCAGGCAAATCTTACTGGTCTACCAGTCTACCAAACCCCAACGTCTACTTACTCATCTAACAAGGAGGTGTCAAATACCATTTTGTGTTATTCCTGGTACTGTGTGAGTTAGCATAAAGGGATTTTGTTTTCATTTAAGACTTGATTTTCAAACTCTAGGAGGTCACAGTCTGCGTGATGAGACAGAGTTAGCACACATAAAACAACAGAAGAAAAATTGGGTGCTAAACAGTGTGTAGAAAGTCATAGCTGGGGGGAATACAACCCAGGGCCAAGGCCTGGTGAGGTTTCAGGGAGGAGGCCTGCAGGATCTGGGAGAGGAGGGTGGGCGTTCACGTAGCCAGCAAACATTTGCTGAGTCTACACTGATGTGGACTCACGCTGGGCCAGGGGAGGTGACATGGAGATGAACATTTCCTGACCATACCCTAGGGCTGGCAAACTGGCCTTGGTTTTAGGGCCAGCCTCAATGTCCCCAGGGACACATGGAGGACAGCACAATGAATGGAGAATGAGGCTTCATTCAAAGGAAAGAAAAGTGCTCATTATCCTTCCCCAGCCCGTTTCTTTATTTACTATTATAGTCATGCAACATTTAACAGGGATGCGTTCTGAGAAATGCATTCTTAGGCAATTTTGTCATCCAGCAACATGTGCAGTGGAGACCCCTCCACTAAAGTGTACTTACACAAACCTGGATGGTACAGCCTACTACACTCCTAGGCCATATGGTATAACCTAGTGCTCCTAGGTGACACACCCATACAGCATGTTACTGTACTGAATACTGTATTTTTACTGTACCTTTTGTATGTGTAGATAGGTTTAGATACACAAATACTTGCCTTTGTGTATACACAAATACTTCCCTCTGTGTATCTAAACCTATCTAAACCTATAAAAGATACAGTAAAAATCCTGTATAAAAGATAAACAATGGTACACCTATAGGGCATTTACCATGAACAGAGCTTGCAGGACTGGAAGTTGCTCTGGATGGGTGAGTGACTGAGTGGTGAGTGAATGCGAAGGCCTAGTGCATTATTGTACACTGGTGTAGGCTTTATAGACACTGTACACTTAGGCTACACTAAATTTGTAAAAATAAATAAAGTAATTGCACTATGACGCTACAACGGCTGCAGCATCACCAGGTGATCACCAGGTGATCGGCGTTTGTCAGCCCCATTAGAATCTTACAGGACCATCATCGTAGGTACAGTTTGTTGTTGACTGAAATGTTATGTGGCCCATGGCTGTAGTTACGTCCAGTAGTATGCTGGTAAATCCACTCTCAAAAAGGAAAAGAAAGAAAAAGAAAAAGAAGAAGTCTCACCTCGTTGATAGTGTCTGCTGATATCCATCATAACCAGTTTCAAACTACCAGTGTGATGTCACCGAACACAAAATTTGAAAGAGATGCATAAAATGGACTCTGGCCGGCTGGTGCCAATTGGCTGTAGCATAACACTGGTTCTCCTTGGAGCCCTGGGAAGGGGTGACCCTGATTGTTCCTCCTCTGGGCCGCACATGGCCTGTGACCTTCCCAAAATCACATGCTGCACTAAAGCGCTATCATTAATCAATACAGCCATGCACATCACAAGGAAGCAGCGTGTCTCTACCTGAGACTTACTGAATGTGAAGGGGTCTACCTCATTTGGCTGGGCACCACCTAGGTGCTCATCACATGTGAGCCTCCAGTCCCATCCTCAGCCCTCCGCCCCCCAAGGCCTAGGGTTGAAGGAGATCACTTCTAAGACGTACGGGCTGCCATTTGTCCATTCATTCATTCAGCAATTTCCTCTCTTTGTGCCACACACTACATTGGGTGCCAGGGAGACAGTGGGGAACAAGACAGACACAGCAGCTACCTTGTGAAGTTCATTAATGCTGGGAATTATGAGGGCCAGGCCCCCTGGCACTGAGTTCTGGTTTGGGCTCCACTTCCAACCTACCATATGGCCTTGAGCAACTCAGCCTCCTCCTTGGGCCTCAGTTTCTTCATCTGTAAAATGAAGAAGTTAGGCTTGATGTTCACTAAGGTCTCTCACAGCTTAGACCTTCTGTGGCTCCAGGGGGTAAAGAGAGGTCCAGAAGGCCGCCACAGGAGGAAGCGTTGGTTGGAGGGGCCAGGAATGTCTCCATGGAGGAACAGCAGGCAGGAAGCAGATTGGACCTCTGAAGATTCACCATGAGTCCCATGAAAGAGGAGGGGATGTGTTTTGGGTGGCTTCTGATGGTGGAACTCTTGGATGTAAATTATAATGTGGCTGAGCCATTTTGACTCAATCTTGAAAGTTCTTGAGTACAATTGGAGCTGCTCAGCCAAGGAATGGGCCACCTTGTGATGGAATGAGCACCTAACATGCAATCAGAGGCCAAAGACCACCTGGCTGAGCTGTATATACAGGATTCATGCCAGGGAGGTCATTATTGTAAAGCATCATGATCGTCAGTAGTGAAGGAATGAAAAAAAAGAAGTTGTGTGGTCCATTGTATTATGTGGAAAAGACAAATAGCATGCAAAAAGATTGCAATTACAGAAAAACACAAGTAGATACCTTAAAAAAAAAAAAAAAGACTAGAATGGCCAGGTACCATGGCTCACACCTGTAATCCCAGCACTTTGGGAGGCCAAAGTGGGTGGATCACTTGAGGACAGGAGTTCGAGACCAGCCTGCCCAACATGGTGAAACCATGTCTCTACCAAAAAATACAAAAATTAGCCAGGTATGGTGGCACACACCTGTAGTCTCAACTACTCGATGGTTGAGGCAGGACAATTGCTTGAACCTGGGAGGCAGAGGTTGCAGTGAGCCAAGATCATGCCACTGCACTCCAGCCTGGATGACTAGAAGGCAAACTATCAAAACACTAATAATGAGGATTCGGATTGTAGATGATGGTCATTTTTTTCCCCATTGTCCTATTTTCCAAATATTTGGTAGTATGATAATGTTGTGTTTGAAATGAATGCAGTTTTATTATTTATGGAAAGTCATCTGGTCCAACCCTCATCCTGGGACAGGAAGCCTCTCTACAACCACTAAACTCTCTTCCAATCCCCCAGTTCTGAGAGGCTCACTCAGGCCTGACAACCAGGGAGGTGGGAGGAAAGTTACACTGATGGATGCTTGCTGAGTGCCAGAGCCTGTGCTGGGTGCAGAGCCAAAGAAACAGTGTCCGGCCTGGAGGAGGGATGATGGCAGTCACATTATCTCACTCAGTCTTTGAAACAGCCGTGGGGCAGGTCCTAGATTATTAAGCAGTAGGCGTCCACCCACGTCGAGGAGGGGTCTCCACTGCACATGTTGCTGGAAGATGCATTCAGGGAGAGTGGGTGAGCTGCCTGTTCAATCCCATAATTTGATGGAATCCAGGCCAAGACCTTGGCCAGGTAGACAACCATGGGGTAGAGTCTGGCTGATGAGGAGGTGAAGGTTTCCTTGTCTGCAACCTGGACACATGCACGCATGCTCACACAGACACATAGCCTCAGCTCAAGCTAAAAGCACCTCACTTTCCCCTACCAAATCTCCACATAATGCTCTCTGAGAAAGTCAATTCCCTGGTGATGAACCCAAACCACATGACTCTCACCCGGCCTTCACCCAGCATCCCCTTCCTGCTCCCCAAGCTCCCCTCTCCACTTCATTTCAGGCTCCCCGTCCCCTTCCTCTGCCTCACCTATGCTGTCGCCCTGTCAGCACCTAATTCAGCTTCCCATGGAGAAAGGCCTCCCTGTTGACAGGGCCGTGCTGGGACTCAGGGCTGCCAAAGTCAGTCTTCTCGCATAAAAGGCTCAGTGAGTCCTGGAGACACTTGGAAGCCAGACAGAATGGAATTTCTCCCTATTTTCTTTACAGCTGAGAAAACACACACAAACACAAGAGCATATTTATTGCGATATTTCTATCCCAAAGTTTGTCTTTAAAAAAAAAAAAGAAATAAAATTAGTTTCTCTGCCCACTCCACCCCTATCCCCCTACCCCCACTCTCCTCCCCACCTCTTTTCATTCCTTCCCATTTCCTGGTTTAGGCCAGGGAGAGAAATCAAGCCGTCCAAGCCCCACAGAGCACTCCTACACCCCCGGACAATGTCCAGCTTGTTCAGAGAGTGAGGGAAGAAACACAGCTCCGAAAACATACACACAACCTCCCAATGAAGGGTGTTCTGAGGGAAGAACAGGCGGGCCTTGTGTCTGAACACGAATCCCTAAGGCTCTGGGAAGAGAGGAGCCGGAAAGTCTAGACCCCTCCCCAGAGTGGAGAAGACACTTTGCCCTCTGCCTTCTGGGGAACTATTTCCCAGCCGCAACTCGTCACATGGGGCTTGAACCAGAGCCCCTCATGGTGCCACAGCCTGCAGCCAGAGACTTTTCTTTAAAAGGCAGCATCTAGGTAGAAAAATCCCTAAGGAGACACAGGGGCTACTTCTCAGAACTTTGGGATTTTCCAGACTTTCTCCAGTGTGAGGATGACGTGCCTCATGCATTCACGCCATACCCCCAGCAGCACCCACAGACAGCCCTTTCATTTCTGGGGTGACTCGTATATGTAGCATAGGTGGTAGAAAGATGACACACTCAATCAACAGGAAGAAAGGGTCACTCGGAGTCCTGGGCCCACCCTGCCCCTGCCCCTGGCATTCCTGGATGGGAACACCAGTGCCCTCCCAACACCCCTCCTGAGCCTAGGGACTCCTGGGGTGCCCCCCTCATCCCCAAATCCATCCAGCCCCAGCCGGCGGTGACTGAGCCAAGAGCGACACCTGCTGGGCCACTGGACTCTGATAGAGCAAAAGTCTGGGAATGCCACGGGCGAGAGTTGCTGAAATCTCCAATCTTTTCTTTAGTCCCAGATCCTCCATCCGCTCCAAGGTTCCCTCCCTCTGTGATGCAAGCACTTCTTAAACCAAAAGGGGAGGGTAGGTGCTGATGCAAGTCCATCCAACAGAACAACTCGGGGAACATCACCAGGCATGCACCGTGGAGGGAAGGTCACAGGAGGTGTCTGTAATGGGACTGCACGTGTTCTAGGCCAGCGGTGCTCCATCTTGGCTGCACCTTAGAACCTTCCAAGCTCTAAAAATCCTGAGGTCCAGGCTGAAGCCCAGGTGATTTCAGTGTGCAGCTGAGGTTGAGAGCACTGCTCTGGTGGGTCTCCTGTACATTCTCTTGGGTCTTCTTGGGTCCACCTATGCTGGAGTCAGGGTTCCAATTGTGCACCTTTACACTGCGGTTGTCACAGACCTGTGTACTTATTATGACAGCTTTACAGCAGATGACGATAAGGAAGGTTTGTCTTTCTAATCCACATGAAGTCATTGATCTAGCAGGAGAGCTACAGCTTCCTAGGTCTAATTTCTCTCCTAAAATATTAATCCGTTCATCCCATAACCTCCTCAAGAGCTCTCTAGGTGAACATCTTTTCCCTGACATGAACCAGGCCCCTAAACCTTGCCTGAAACCTTGGAGGCTAGTCCATTCTAAAACACACGTGATCTCTGGATTTGAAGTTGGTGGCAGGCCCAAGTTTCATTAGGGATGTTGAGCAACTCATCACTTCTCTGGGCCTGAAGGACTGTGTTAGTCAGGGTTCTCCAAGGAAACAAACCAATAGGACACATGCACACAGACACACACATACGCACACAGACACACACATACACACACACACACACGAGAGACAGAGAGAGAGAGAATTATTATAAGGAATGGGTTCATGCAATTATAGAGGCTGGCAAGTCCCAAGGTCTGCATGATAAGTTGGTAAGCTAGACCAGGAGACCTGGTGGTGTAATTCTAGTCCAAGTTTGAAGGCTTGAGACCTAAATGAAATGATTGGAGTAGTTTCAGTTTGAAAGTCAGTAAGCTTGAGACCTAGGAAGAGCAGATGTTTCAATTCAAGTCCAAAGGGAAGAAAAAGCAATGTTCTAGCTCAAAGGCCATCCAGCACAAAGAATTCTCTCTTTCTCAGGACAGGTCAGTCTTTTCTCTCTATTCAGTCTTCAACTGATTGGACTAGACCCTCCCACATTAGGGAGGACCATCTGCTTTATTCAATCTACCAATTCCAATGTCAATCTCATCCAGAAACACCCTCACAGACACACCCAGCACAATGCTTGGCCAAATGTCTGGTTGCCCCGGCCCAGTCAGGTTGACTCATACAATTAACCATCACAGGAACTCATTCAGATGAGACTTCACTGGCTGAAAGATGGGAGGTTAGGTTTATTAGCCTAATGCCCGGAATTAAACTGAGAAACCTGTGAAGGTTTTGTGAGGGAAGGATTTTTTAAGAAAATATCTCACAAACCACGTGCAGCCTCCTTCTCTGGAGATGATTCCAGGTCCTTGGGTGTGGAATTATCACTTTGCATCATATGTCACATGACTCTGCTTGACCTCACCATGCCTTCACTGTCTAAATAACGCCTCTGCCTCCCCTCTTCCAGGTGAACTATGACCACTTTACTCTGGGTTTTCGTGACTCTGAGGGTCATCACTGCAGCTGTCACTGTAGAAACTTCAGGTGAGGACATTCCTATACATGTTTCACGTATTCAGTAGGCATGAGTAGTGGGTTTGAGTACTGGGTACTGAACCTGGTGCTACTGGTCCCAGGGATATAATTTCCCCTTTCCTGGACTTTTCCTGGCCCCACCCTTCCCCTGTTGATGCATGCATAACTGTGATGGGATAGCACCCATGCGCGGGCACACTCTTGCAGGAGCCTTGCTCAGATAACACTGCTCCTGACTGCCCTCAAGCCCCGACAGCTGGCAGGGAGAGCTCCCGGCAGGTGCCCTCCTTCCCTCCATGGATCTCAGTGAGGACTGCTGCGCACTGAGCTTGCCGGAGGGGCAGGACATAGACAAACCAGTGGAGAAAGGACCATTGAGGGAGGATCGGCTGGAGCACCAAAGAAGAAAGGTCACTTGGGAGACAGCCAGAGAAAAGCCCCAGGGAATCAGACAGGTCTTTGCCTTTTCTGCAAACCATCCTCGGGAAGCCCCAGCCTGGTCTCGTGCATGTGGAAGGCACTGGGTCTACTGCTAATCCAGCATTGGACCAAATGAGCAAAACTTCCACTGACCCCAGGATGGGCTTGACCCCAGAAGGGAAGGTATGTCTTCCCCAGGCCCAGACAAGAGAGGACTCTGCTCTTGGCTGTGTATTTTAGAGGCCCCCACTGGCCATCCTCCAGCCTCAACCCTCTCCAAAGGAAGGGGAGTCAGCAGGGCCAATGTGTCTGCCCAAATCTGCACTTCCCCTTTAGAGCACATTCTGGGGTCCCAGGATGCCCAGAATTTCCCCTCCAAGTGGGCCCAGGCCACATCCAGGGCCTGCATGGGTCCATCCTCCTACGGGGACACCATACCCCTGGTGGGAGCCACCCTGGGCCCAAGGGAGGGGCCAAGGAGTGGCTGTTTGTATGGGGTGTGGGCAGAGCAGGGCTGTGGGGCTGAGATAAGCACAGCAGCACATGAGACCCCCTCACAGTGCAGTCAGTGT
The DNA here is from genome assembly GCF_000001405.40 of Homo sapiens. Lineage (NCBI taxonomy): Eukaryota > Metazoa > Chordata > Mammalia > Primates > Hominidae > Homo > Homo sapiens. Next base: position 88,837,260 of record NC_000015.10, read on the forward strand.
GGGAAAAAGAAGGCGGCCCAGCTCCCCATGCTCCCACCCAGCCACTACAGCCCAAGGCAAAACACCAAGTAATCCAAGAATTCTGAATTTAAATCTGTGCTTTCAGGTCATTTTGAAAGGTACCATTGTCAAATAGGAAGATAGGACATAGAACTTAACAATCTGTTGGCCTGATTTACAACTTTTGCATCTGTAGACATATGGGACAAGGGCCTTCATTTGTACTGTTGCTGGGAGACCCACAGCCATGCAGCCCCTGGCTGTACCCAGGGGTGGTCCGCCCACACAGGGAAACCAGTTCATTAGGTTTGAGTGGGGCTTTAAAAACTGCTGAGCTGGGCACGACAGTCCCTTTCAGCTCTCCCCTGAGAACCACTACTGCTAAAACCAAGCCATGTCCAGGGTGCGAGGGCCCAGCACTCGGAGGAAGATGCCTGTGGAAGGGGCCAGTGGGACTGCCCAGGACATCAGAAGGTTAAGGCCTGGACTCTAAGCATTCCTCGCTCCCCTCCCCTTGCCCTGTGATGTATCTACAACCCACAAATATCTGAAACATTTTTTATTTCAACCTGTAGGCCCCCATGAAAGAACAGGTTTCATAAATGTATGAGTCTCCATGAAAGGTGCTTTTTTTTTTTTTTTGGAAAGCTGTTTTTTTTCTTTTTTTTTTTTCCCCATTCCCAGCAGATCTTTTGTTTCTAACAAGATTTGGTAAGCTTGTTGCACCTCCTCTATTGACACTCTCCATTATATTAACATGTTTGGAGTCTGATCCTATCCCATCGCCTCTCCTGCATCTGACTGTTTGCACACCAAAAGGTCTGATCTTCTCGGATGCTTCTCCACCTGAGTCCCCTGACTCCCAAACAGCAGAAGAGAGTGACTTGTCCCGGTGGCAAAATCAGGCTCGCACCCAAAAGCAGACCTCCCCAAATGGGACACATCTTAGAAGTTTTCTGTCTCAGCTTTAAAATTGTGTAGATTACTTTTCTACCCCAACATAATTTTTCCCAAAATCTTTGAGTTAAGCTGTCACTCCAAGGAGATGGGTCCTGTTTTATTCCACGCTTTGGTGCCCACTGCAGTACCCCAGTTTGAGAAACAGGGAGTTGGTCCTGACTCTGACGTCTCCCCTCCCTCCTCTGGAATCCTTTTCTAGCTCCATAGTTTCTGTCTCGAGATGCAGAGGCCAGGGGTCTTGAGGAACACTGCTCTGGAAAGGGCGTGGCAAGCCTTTCTGGGAATTCCCACATGACACGGGAGCATCCCCATCATAGAGACAGACACACTCATCGGATTTCGCTCTCTCAGGAGAGTGCATTGCTGGAAGGATGGATGGGGAGGCGGGGTGGTCCTCTCTAGGCACTAACAGGTCTCTCTTCTACCCCACCTCTCCCACACAGACCATGACAACTCGCTGAGTGTCAGCATCCCCCAACCGTCCCCGCTGAGGGTCCTCCTGGGGACCTCCCTCACCATCCCCTGCTATTTCATCGACCCCATGCACCCTGTGACCACCGCCCCTTCTACCGCCCCACTGGCCCCAAGAATCAAGTGGAGCCGTGTGTCCAAGGAGAAGGAGGTAGTGCTGCTGGTGGCCACTGAAGGGCGCGTGCGGGTCAACAGTGCCTATCAGGACAAGGTCTCACTGCCCAACTACCCGGCCATCCCCAGTGACGCCACCTTGGAAGTCCAGAGCCTGCGCTCCAATGACTCTGGGGTCTACCGCTGCGAGGTGATGCATGGCATCGAGGACAGCGAGGCCACCCTGGAAGTCGTGGTGAAAGGTGAGAGCCTCCCACAGGGACAGACGCTGCTTCACCCACATAAAGAACCAGAGCAGTCTCCGCAGTGCAGGCGCAGGCAGGCTGGCCTTCAAACCAGCTCCTCCACGCACCTCAGCCAAGTTACTTAACTTCAGCTGCTTCCTCTGTGACATGGAGCTGGTAATATCATTCTCTCTGGACTTAGGGAGCATTAAATACTTCCTGGCTGTGGTCACAGGTAACTGACAGTTTGTGCTTCCCAAGAATCCTGTGATCCGGTGGGTCTTGTGATCGTGCCCATTTTACAGACAAGCAAACTGAGGGCAAGTGACTTGCCTGAGGTTACCCTGGAAATGAGTCAGAGCAGTCTCCTGACAGTTCATCCTGGTGTCTTTTCCCTCCCCCTCTCCACTCTTATTCTCAGTTCCAGAAGCCAAAGCAAGGGCTGAAGACTCCCTGGTCTCTTTCTCTCCATGGCCCAAGGAGAACAGTCAGGTCTTTGGTTAGCTTCAGGACTTTGGTCAACACCAGATTTTTCCCAGGGGGAGGTACAGTGGGAGACTCTGTCAAAGACAGTTCACTCCTGGGCACACCTTAAATGAGGTTTCCACTAGGGTGGCCCTGGGCTGAGGGTGCAGGGCATTCTGAGTGTCTGTTTCTCTTAATGCAATATGGGGGTCTTGGAGTGATAAGAAAAAATTATAAGGAGGCAGATTTTAGTTTAATTCAAAGAACTTTCTCTTTATCAGTATTATCATAAGTCTTTAAAAAGGAATGCCTTATAAAGTAGTGAGCTCCCCATTACAGGGTGTTCCAGCAAATTCAGAAGGATCACGTGCAAAGGTGTACAGGGAGTCATGCATCAGCCCAGACCAGCCAGTTCCCTAAGGTCCCTTTGACTATTGCCATAATTCTGCGAGGGCCTCGGTGATCAGAGACTGTGCCTGACCAGCTCTTCCGCTTGTGGGCGTGTATGTGTCTTGCAGGCATCGTGTTCCATTACAGAGCCATCTCTACACGCTACACCCTCGACTTTGACAGGGCGCAGCGGGCCTGCCTGCAGAACAGTGCCATCATTGCCACGCCTGAGCAGCTGCAGGCCGCCTACGAAGACGGCTTCCACCAGTGTGACGCCGGCTGGCTGGCTGACCAGACTGTCAGGTGAGCCCTAGCCCATCAGCTAGTGGGGGCCAGGAGTCAGCAGCCACAGGGGAGTGGGGCGGGTGCTGGGTGGAACGTTGGCCAGCACTGAGCTGGTGCCAGCATGACACTGTGGCCAGCCTAGGTTAGAGGCCGTGGTCACACCTTGGCCAAACAGCAGCTCAATGACCCATCCCAAACCCTTGTTATTGTGATTCTCTCTTGCAAATGGGATGAGGGACTGCTAGCAACCTTGCCCTACATGTCATTATTTTTCCTACCCATTTTTTTCTTTGCCATGATTTCCTCACGTTTAAACTTTGGTGTCCTCTGTATTTTTATAAACAAACTTCCATCCTTTTTGTTTTTAATAAGGCAAGTTATAAATTGAACCCCTTGGTACATCCTTCCCTGAGCGTAGTTGCTGAGGAGTGAGGTGCAGAGCAGTCCAGATAGACCCTGCCCTCAAGGGATCTCAATGCACTGTGAAGGCAAGATGATATCACCCATTTCAGGAGCATCATAGCTCCAACAGCCAAAAACACAAAGCCTCAGGAAGGAAAATGTCTTTGCAGTCTCGGGGTAGGAAAACAGATCTTAGGATACAAAAACTATAGCCATAAAAAAAAAAAAAAGATGAGATAATAGTCTAGCATAGAGCAAGAGCCCACACCTGGGGGCATAAAGAACTGGACTCAGCCGGGCGCAGTGGCTCATGCCTGTAATCCCAGCACTTTGGGAGGCCAAGGCGGGCAGATCACGAAGTCAGGAGATCGAGACCATCCTAGCTAACATGGTGAAACCCCATCTCTACTAAAAAATACAAAAAATTAGCCAGGCGTGGTGGTGGGCTCCTGTAGTCCCAGCTACTCGGGAGGCTGAGGCAGGAGAATGGCGTGAACCCGGGAGGTGGAGCTTGCAGTGAGCCGAGATCGCGCCACTGCACTCCAGCCTAGGTGACAGAGCGAGACTCCGTCTCAAAAAATAAAAGAACTGTACTCAAATTCCAGCTCTGGCACTTGGAAGCTGCGTGACTGTGGACAAATGATTTAACACCTCTGAGCCCCAGTTTCTTCAAGTGTAAAGTAGATTGATGATAGCACCTACCTCACTGGGTTGACATGAGACTCAAATGATATAGAGTGAGGCCTAACAAACTATGGCCCAGAGGCCAAGTCCAACCCACCCCTTGCTTCTGTAAATAAAGTTTTATTGGGACACAGTCACACCCATTTGCATATCTGTGGGTGCTTCACGCTACAGTGGCAGTTGAGTGGTCACCACAGAGACTATGCAAAACCTAAAATATTTACTATCTTGCCTTTTATAGAAAAAAATATGTGAGCCCCTGATAGAGAAAGTGTGTTTTGTACCACTAAATATTCAGTAGTGGGGGCTGCCTTTAATCATGATTCACTGTAAAAACAGATAGGCAGTTGACATATTCAGAAGAGACATTGTCAAATGCAATATTAAGTTGCTGTTTCCTCCCACGGGAGGAGGATTCAAAGGCAGAGGCCATGGGCTTCCCTTTGTCCCCTGAGTGTCACACCTCCATTTCGGGTTCCTGGCAGATACCCCATCCACACTCCCCGGGAAGGCTGCTATGGAGACAAGGATGAGTTTCCTGGTGTGAGGACGTATGGCATCCGAGACACCAACGAGACCTATGATGTGTACTGCTTCGCCGAGGAGATGGAGGGTGAGCTGCCCTGCCCACCAGGAGGCACCCAGCTCCCTTCCCAAGGCCACCTTCCCCTCCCCATCTCCCCACTGACACCTGAGATCACACAGGCTGCCAGCTCAGGGCCTGACACACTCTGTCCTCCTCTGCCATGAAGGGAGGTGGGCTGAGGCCTACAGGTCTGCACCCCTCGCACTCCACTTTGGAGAGGGTCTCAGTGGCCCCAACATCTGCAAAATGTCTGATGTCGCCACTGGACCCAAGAGCACATGTCACAGGAGGTTTCTCACCTGGGATTGCCCCTCCCAGCTGAGACCCTGGCTGCTGTGACAAGCACATCCCTGTTCTAAGGTCCACCATGCTGTCAAAGTCCAGCCCAGCCTTACCCTCGCAAGCGACACTACACCTGCAACAAAGCTCCCAGGGCAGCTGGCCACCCAGCCACCCTCTCCCAGAGTCCCTGTGGGCAGCCCCAGCTCTGTTCTTGGACAGAGCTGGGGGCAGTGGAGAGGAACCTGGGCTTTTTCTGTTTTGTAAAGGGCACCAGTTTTAGTCACAGAGTTACCCACGCACGTGGATGACACCCTTTCCCCCATCTGCACCCATATATTCCTTTGTACTTTCCAGACTCTGCAATGTCTATCTCCTCCCTCCCTGCCCATCCCCCCTCCCCCCTACCTGAGCACAGTGCCCACAGCTCCTCCAGGCTGGGGAGAAGAGCTGACAACTGGCACTTTCTGGGTGAGGGGCCCCGGCCAGGCTTTCTCACCATCGTAGGCCCCCTGCCGCATTCCCACCCCAGGGGGCAAACCTGCCTATTAGGTAACAAGTTATTTGTGTGTTCCCACATTTGGCTAACCAAAGACAAATAGAACTGCCAGTTAGAGCTGCCACTGAGCAGGGGTAGCCAGAACCACCCCTGTGAGTGGATGCCGTCCGCCCCCACCCTTACCCCTTACCCTTACCCCTGACACAACCTTGTTAGATTTTGGGAAATTTTTTTTAAGCTCATGGTCCTCGAATGATGCTCTTACGGACTCTTCAGGGTCTAGAGACCCCAGTTTGGGAACCACTGCTCCAAGGGCTCAAGGTCTGATGCCTGCTTTTCCCAGGAAAATTTGAGGTTTTTAAAAGGATTTGCCTTGAGTAGGCAATGCTTAACTCCTAGGAAAGATCCCCCTGTGGTGGAATGCAAATGGGGCAAAGAGGCTTTTGAGCAGAATTTTCCTCCCAGATTTCAAGTTTGCTCCACCCTTTGCCCAATCTCCCTGCCACTTTTGCTGCTTCTTTCTTGGTCCCCTTGTTTTAGGAAATTGATGTCATCCTACACAAAAGCCCAGAAATAAGCAATGAAGGGCAAGATCTGAGATGCAGACATATGGGACCAGGACTTTGGGAAGTTAAAGGACTCCCAAGACCTCGTGGAAAAGTGTGGATCTCTCTGGGGATGCAGAGCAGGGGGAGGGGGGAGAAGACCCTTACCCAGCTGGCTGTGTCCTTCACAGGTGAGGTCTTTTATGCAACATCTCCAGAGAAGTTCACCTTCCAGGAAGCAGCCAATGAGTGCCGGCGGCTGGGTGCCCGGCTGGCCACCACGGGCCAGCTCTACCTGGCCTGGCAGGCTGGCATGGACATGTGCAGCGCCGGCTGGCTGGCCGACCGCAGCGTGCGCTACCCCATCTCCAAGGCCCGGCCCAACTGCGGTGGCAACCTCCTGGGCGTGAGGACCGTCTACGTGCATGCCAACCAGACGGGCTACCCCGACCCCTCATCCCGCTACGACGCCATCTGCTACACAGGTGGGGCACGGCTGGTGGTGGGAAGGGAGTTCATGCCACTAAAATGGGGTCCTAGAGGGAAGAGGGGATCTTGGAAAGGGAGGGTTGGTTTTTGCCCTTGAAGGGGCCACGGGGTACCTGAACCCCATGTTTTTAGGACACCCCTCCATTTTCACTGGTTCCTAGGAAGCCCTAAGGTAGAGACTCTTGAGACTGCAGCGTATCTAGCTCTGTCTCATCGGATCAGCACAGACGAGGCTTAAAAACCTCCAAACTGTTTTCTCCAGTTTGAATCAAAGCTCTGTCACCTACTACTGTGCAACCCTGGCAAAGTCAAGGCTGTGAACCTCACTCTTCTCATCTGTCTAGTGAGGAGATGGGGTGCCCGCCTGCAAAGACGTTGGGGGTCTGACATGTGACCCTGGCACCCATGGGAGGGTGCTGCTATCTGCCTTTTTAAATTGAATATGTCTAAAAGGAGGGTCAAAATGGGTTTTGTTGTGTTTTGTTTTTTTGTTTTTCTTTGAGACAGGGTCTCACTCTGTCATCAAGGCAAGAGTTCAGTGGTGTAATCATAGCTTACTGCAGCCTTAGCCTCCTGGGCTCAAGCAATCCTCCTGCCTCAGCCTCCCATGCAACTGGGAATACAGGCACCACCATGCTTTGCTTTTTTTTTTTTTTTTTTTTGGTAGAGATGGGGTCTTGTCATGTTGCCCAGGCTGGGCAAAATGTCATTTTACTTTATTATTATTATTATTATTGTTGAGACAGAATCTCACTCTGTCACCCAGGCTGGAGTGCAGTGGTGCTATTTCAGCTCATTGCAACCTCCATCTCCCAGGTTCAAACGATTCTTCTGCCTCAGCCTCCCAGGTAGATTGGGATTACAGGTGTGCACCATCATGCCCAGCTAATTTTGTATTTTTAGTAGAGATGGGTTTCACCATGTTGACCAGGCTGGTCTTGAACTCCTGACCTCAGGTGATCCACCCACCTCAGCCTCCCAAAGTGCTGGGCTTGCATGCGTGAGCCACCACGCCCGGCCACAAAATGTTATTGAAAAGAGTAGGGGAAAGTTTGATGGGGACTTTATTTTGAAAAATTAGACCAAAATGTTCAAATAAGTTTTTATCTTACATTTAACACATTTTGGGTTATAATTATAATTACATGCTAATTCTTGGAGGAAAAAACAATGCCTCACATGAATGAGGAGTTGCAAAACTTTTATGTACTAAGTGGTGATAACACAATGACAACTCATTACACGTTTCATTTCCACAACCTGATCTTACAGGAAGAGGGTTAATAGCTGGGATTTCCCCCTCGAAGCCTCTCTTAACCTTTTGGTATTCTAACCACTCTTTTGGAAGTAGTATCACTCTCATGGTACCCTCATTTTTCCATGACTATGAGACAGGCAGTTCTCCAAAGCCACCTTCATCAACTTCACAAACTGCACTTTCTGCAAGATTTTCTGATTTCTCCTTATAACTGACTTACCTGGTCCTGTTGGATAGTTACAGCATCAGATGGTTGGTAAGGTGCTCATGAGACGAGTGAAGCAGCAGCTGTGTTGAGCAGGAAGGGCTGTTGGGGTGGGAACTGATCTTTATGAGCCGTCAGCTCATTGGTCAATATCTTGCCCTCTGATAGCTCTTGCACTCTTGCAATCTTGAAACTGTGGGGACTCCTACAATGAATGCCGATAGCTGAGTACCCCTGAAATGGGCTTGGCAAGGTGCCTGGCACACAGTGGTGCCCTCCTGCCCCAGCAGGGAAGGAGGGGGAGCCATGCTCATCTCCAGCCCACTCCTCATCCCCCTCAAGCCGGTCCCAGGCTGAGAGGCTAAAGCTTGTCTTTGCCCCTCCCCTAGGTGAAGACTTTGTGGACATCCCAGAAAACTTCTTTGGAGTGGGGGGTGAGGAGGACATCACCGTCCAGACAGTGACCTGGCCTGACATGGAGCTGCCACTGCCTCGAAACATCACTGAGGGTGAAGCCCGAGGCAGCGTGATCCTTACCGTAAAGCCCATCTTCGAGGTCTCCCCCAGTCCCCTGGAACCCGAGGAGCCCTTCACGTTTGCCCCTGAAATAGGGGCCACTGCCTTCGCTGAGGTTGAGAATGAGACTGGAGAGGCCACCAGGCCCTGGGGCTTTCCCACACCTGGCCTGGGCCCTGCCACGGCATTCACCAGTGAGGACCTCGTCGTGCAGGTGACCGCTGTCCCTGGGCAGCCGCATTTGCCAGGGGGTAAGTAGCTGCCCGTGGGTGCATCCAGGGGCAGGTGGAGAGAACTTGGCCTGCAGGGAAGGGATTCCCGCAGTTGAAGGCTGTACCTTCTACTTAACCTGGCACGTGGGACAATGTTCTCTCCTCTCAGACCTTATTCTCCTCATCTGTGGAACAAAAACAATAGGCCAGACTAGTCAGGTCCACACTCTTGCCACCAGGGATTTATTTCAAATGAGGTCATATGTGGAATCCAGTCTCTGTATCAAGCAGGCACATGTGCCACATAGTTCTAAGGGAAGTAGCGTGGAGAACAACTGGGCTCCTTCTGTCCAGGGCCCCTCCTTGCCCCATCAGACACCCCAACAAAACAGAGCCACTAGAAAACCACTGCCTTGGATGACCCCTGAGGCCTCTCACTGCTCTGACCTCCCAGGACAAAGGCCAGCAAACTGTGGCCAGTGGGCTGGGTTTAGCTGTTCTCATATGGCCCATGACTTAAGAATGATTTTTACATTCTTAAATAGTTAGGGGCAAAAAGTCAAAAGAAAAATAATATTTTGTGACACATGAAAATTATATAAAATTCAAATTTCAATGTCCACAAATAAAGTTTGATTGGAACAAAGCCATAGCCATCTGTGGACAAGTTGTCTATGACTAACTGAGGACAATCACAGCGAGGTTGAATACAGTCAGTCTTTCATGTCTGGATTCAACCAACCGTAGATGGAAAATATTCCAAAAGAAAAGAAACAATAACAACAATACAACAATAAAAGTAATACAGATTTAAAACAATACAATATAACCACTACTTACATAGCATTGACGTTGTATCAGGTTTTATAGGTAATCTAGAGATGCTTTTATACAAATACTACACTTGTATATCAGGGACTTGAGACTCTGCAGATTTTGGTATCTGAGGAGATCCTGGATCCCGAAGGATAACTGTAGTTGTAACAGAAGCCACATAGCCCACAAAGCCTAAAATATTTACCATTCGGCTCTTTCCAGAAAACGCTTCCAACTCCTGTTCTAAGATGACAGTGTTCTAGGTGCTTAATACATGTGTGAAAATGGGATGTCAGGTAGCATAGAGCCCAGTGCTTCCCAAACTCAAGTCTATGAACAAGGACATTCTGGTGTGGCCTTGTTCCGTAATGGCCTTGGTGGGGTTCCCACGCAGGGGAGGGGCAGATGGACGCTGCCATCCACCATCACACCCACGTGGCTACCAAGTGGGATTTCAGCCTGCATTGCCCAGATAAATCCAATATGTCAGGCAGCAGGAGTTGGCCCCCCTCTGTGCCCATGGAGCCTTGGAAGCTGCACACCGTGGGTCCCTGAACCTGACCGCTCCCTCCTCCCCACCCAGGGGTCGTCTTCCACTACCGCCCGGGACCCACCCGCTACTCGCTGACCTTTGAGGAGGCACAGCAGGCCTGCCTGCGCACGGGGGCGGTCATTGCCTCGCCGGAGCAGCTCCAGGCCGCCTACGAAGCAGGCTATGAGCAGTGTGACGCCGGCTGGCTGCGGGACCAGACCGTCAGGTGAAGCCATGCTCCTCGCCCAGCCCAAACCCAATTGAAGAGGTCAGGCTTAAGGAGCCACAGCCTGACACCGCCCCCAGCACACTGAGCACCCAATACCTTGTGGGTTAATGAATGAATTAGTGACTCAACTGAGGCATATCCCGAAAGGGTGGTGAAGGGCACCGAGTAATGTTCAGTTCTTGGTCATTTCTCCCCATCAGACAGAGGCAGCAGCCCCCTCCTCAAGTGCCCCGTTCCCCTCCAGCCTGACCCAGTGCCCTTCCATGCAGCTGCTCTCTCCTGAAGCCAGAAATCCCCCAGGAGCCACCAGATCCTTCCCCCAGGCTGCTCAGAGAACTTGCTGCATAAGGGGCTTTTTCCTGGTTTGAATACCACCAGACAACTGAAGACATCTCCAAGTCCCTGAGTAGCCTCTGGCCTCAGCCCAGGGCCGTGCATCTACCAGCCCCTGGAACAGGCCTTCATCTTCTCCTCCCACTCTCCTTTGCAGATACCCCATTGTGAGCCCCCGGACCCCATGCGTGGGTGACAAGGACAGCAGCCCAGGGGTCAGGACCTATGGCGTGCGCCCATCAACAGAGACCTACGATGTCTACTGCTTTGTAGACAGACTTGAGGGTACAAGCCACATTCTCACATTTCGGGCCCTAGATGGGCAGGGGGTGGGCAGGGAGCTGACAGGGCGATACAAAGAAGAGAGGGGGTTACCACCCACCCACCCCTGATTCCACCCAGCTTTCCAGGTGGGAAAGGGTCCTGCTGAAAAAGGAAGGCCCCCAGCCCCTCCCTCAGATCTAGTGCCTGCTCTCCTACTGAATGTTTCATGTGGTCTCCTCCAGCATTGCAGGGGAGCATCAGTCCCTTTAAAAAGCAATGAGGTCTGTGGGTAAATCTCAGTTTATTATAAATAAACGCTATATACACCAACTCCTTCTTGGAGAGTCCCAATGCCTGGGCACAAATCAAAGGCACTGAGAAGTCCTGCAGTAAAAACAAAAACAAAAAACCTTTTTAGGCTGGGCACAGTGGCTCACACCTGTAATCCCAGCACTTTGAGAGGCAGAGGTGCCTCAATGTGAGTTGATTGCTCTAGCCCAGGAGTTCGAGACCAGCCTGGGCAACATGGCCAAATCCGGTCTCTACTTATTTAAAAAGAAAGAAAAAGAAAAACTTCCTTAACTCTCTTTAACTCAGCATTGCCCAATTTTTAACCACAGACCTTTATTTTGTTTTATTTCATTTCTTTTAATTTCCATGAAAATTACCAAATTTCCACTGAACGCAATTTTGGAAATGCTGGTGTTCCAGAAAGATTTCGGCATTGCCACTCACTCGTTTCAAGACCCTGGGCAAGTCACTTAACCTCTCTAGGCCTCAGCTCCTTCATCTATAAAATGGGGCTGATTTATATGTACATCAGAGGTTTTTTTGAGTATTAAATGAGATATGTATGAAAAGTTCTTGGCACAAGTAGGTGTTCAGTAAGTGTAAGCCCTCCTCCCCCTAAACCGGATAGGTATCAGGTACATCGCTAGGTGCTGGGACCCAGCCCCTGCCCTGGATGAGTTCCCAGGGTGTGGGGTGAGCACGTCCACAGCAGTCACAGTGATAAGTGCAGTGGTGTAGGGGTGCAAAGGGATTGGAGGGGGCCCAGGCGAGCTGCCTCGCTTAGCCAAGGGAGGGGGTGCCTAAGTGTGAGTGGAGAATCCAGAAAAGAGGGACGGAGGAGAAGTTGTTGTGGAAACAACTCAGCCCAGTTTTACGGGAATTTTGCCTTTTTTGGCACCGAAAGTCCTATGTACCGGGAAACCCCAGTCCAGTACAAACCAGAGCGGTGGTCACCTATTTCCCAGGGTCCCAGAAAATCTAAGGGGGAGTGGTCAAAAAAGGGGTGATGGAGCTGGGCTGGGTCTTAGCCCTGGTGAGGAGGGTTAGAGGAACTCTGTCCTGGGTGGGCAGGGATGGACCTGGCCTGAGTGTGGGGGGGTCATATTCTACCCCTTGCCTCTGCCCCCAGGGGAGGTGTTCTTCGCCACACGCCTTGAGCAGTTCACCTTCCAGGAAGCACTGGAGTTCTGTGAATCTCACAATGCTACGCTGGCCACCACGGGCCAGCTCTACGCCGCCTGGAGCCGCGGCCTGGACAAGTGCTATGCCGGCTGGCTGGCCGACGGCAGCCTCCGCTACCCCATCGTCACCCCAAGGCCTGCCTGCGGTGGGGACAAGCCAGGCGTGAGAACGGTCTACCTCTACCCTAACCAGACGGGCCTCCCAGACCCACTGTCCCGGCACCATGCCTTCTGCTTCCGAGGTATGCAGCCTCACTTCGGCTCCAACAGCCCCTTTTGTCTGGAGAGGACCCCACTGGGTTCACCGGATCCTGCCACCACCCAGTATCCCATCCATCAGAGCAAGAAAATGTCAGTCCCTCTGGGGCAGAGCCAGCTCTGAAACCAGCACAACGCAGGCTTTGACCCCAAGGCAAGGTCATCCTTCTAAAGTTCCCCAGAGACAAGTAGAGATAAATAAGAACTTGAGCTGGTATTTATGTCTACTAGAAATGAAGCAGACCTGAATTTGAGTTATGGCTCTGCTACTTAATAGCTGTGTGAAAATGGAGATATAATGGTTCCTACTTCAGAGAGAGCTGCAAGAATTAATTAAGTGCACGTGGTGCCCTTGGCATAGTGCCTGGGACACAGTAAATGCTCAATAAATGTTAGCTTTATTTCATATACATATCTATATGTAAAGCTGTAATATATAGCTTTATTTTGTACAACCTGTAATTTGTACACTCTTGTCAAATTCTCTCCTGCTTGCAAATATTTTTGTGATGAGTTTAGTCAAATTATTCTATTATTCTTCACTAAGCACTGGTGGTTCAAGTTTTTCGTTGACCTATGCTATGGATATGCTACCATTTCAACCATCACTCCCCACTGGACTTCTGAGAGTGATGTCATCAAGCAATATAGTAAGCATGGCCAGGGCATAGCCACGGAATTGCTGGGCTCTGGATGAGTTCCTGCAGAGTCCATGGAGGGTCTGGGTGCATGGACCAGAATGTAGATTGTAATAACAGCCTGTGCCATGTTTTATAGTTTACATCAAAACTGAGTGTCTTTGCAACTTCCTGTGAATCTAGAATTATTCTCAAATAAACTTAAGGGGAAAAAACTTGAGTGTCCCCAAGTTTCCCAGACATCCAGGGTCACCTTTTAAAACCCAATTCAAGGCCAGGAGCAGTGGCTTACGCCTGTAATCCCAGCACTTTGGGAGGCCAAGGCAGGCAGATCACTTGAGGTTAGGAGTTCGAGATCAGCCTGGCCAACATGGTGAAACCCTGTCTCTACTAAAAAAAAGTGCAAAAATTAGCCTAGTTTGGTGGTGTGTACCTGTAATCCCAGCTACTAGGGAGGCTGAGGCAGGAGAATCACCTCAACCCAGGAGGCGGAGGTTGCAGTGAGCCGAGATTATTCTGCTCTACTCCAGCCTGGGCAGCAGAGCAAGACTCTGTCTCAAAAAAAAAAAAAAAAAATTCAAAGTTCAGCCAGCCTCAATAAGTCAAGTCCAATTCTCTCCCAGAGGCTTTGATGAGGCTCTTGTCCCAGTGCCCCTTCCCTGCTCTGGGAAGCAGAAACCAAGCCAGTTAACCTCCCAGAAATTTCCCAGCCATGCTGCCCCCAGCCTCCCACCCCTGACCCTCCGTGAACTCAGCCTTGTGTATTATCCTGCACAGTTCAGCTTCCTTGCTGACCAAGCCCACTGCTGGTTTCCCCCACACCAGTACAGTTACCCCCAGCCCATGAATCCTGCCTTCACGCTTTCAAATGCCGAGATGGTTTCATGGAATTGAGTACCATCCTCCTATTTTTGGTCGTGACACACTTGGAACATAATCCCTGTCCCCCAAGGTTGTTCAGTAGTTGAGAGCGTGGAGTCTGGTACCAGATGCTTAAATTCAAAGACTAGATCTGACATTTGTAAGCCATTGACTCTGGGCAAATCATGTAACTCTGTGCCTCAGTTTCCCCATCTGTAAAATGAGATAATCATATCTCTCTCATAAAGCTGTTGTGAGATAAAGTGATTTTAGATACACAAGGCTTTAGAGCAATGCCCGGCATATATGGTCAATTCTGCAGGGGAGATGCCCCAGATCACTGGAACTAAAGTGCTGATGGTGCATATGGATATTATATCATTGGTGCCGATGGCTCTTACTAAGCGAGAAGGCAAACAGCCATCTGCTGAACTAGGAGGTGGGGCCTGGCCACCTCAGAGTCCCCTAGCTCCCCTCAAGAAGGGCCAGCCAAGGACGGGTCACTGGTAAGAGAGGGACTCACTCTGACCACCCACATCTCCTTTAGGCATTTCAGCGGTTCCTTCTCCAGGAGAAGAAGAGGGTGGCACACCCACATCACCCTCTGGTGTGGAGGAGTGGATCGTGACCCAAGTGGTTCCTGGTGTGGCTGCTGTCCCCGTAGAAGAGGAGACAACTGCTGTACCCTCAGGGGAGACTACTGCCATCCTAGAGTTCACCACCGAGCCAGAAAACCAGACAGAATGGGAACCAGCCTATACCCCAGTGGGCACATCCCCGCTGCCAGGTTGGTATGGCTTGGGTTCTGGGGCACACCCTGAAGCTGCATACCCCTGTCTTCCTACAGTGTGCCTGGTGGGGCGGGGGGGTTCCCTCCCTGGGATTTGTGCTGTTTCCCCAGCCCTGACACTGGCTGGGTGTTCTGCTATGGGCAACTTCAGCCACCTCAGCTGGCCTCTAGGACCTGCCCCAGAGTGACAAAAACAGCCTTGTCCATAAAATTTTTTTATTACACATTTACTTTTCTGGACCTTATTTCCCTTGCATGAACCCCCAAATGCCCAGGACTGTGCTGATGAGAGGGCCCTCAGTTACCTTGTCCTCCTGCACTGACACCCTTACCCTAACCTCAACCCTCTCTTGTGGGAAGATCTCTAATAGAGGAGAAAGAATCAGGGAGGGGGTTACTGTTGGAAGTCTGACTGTGACCTGTCTCCTTGCCTTTCTCCTCCTTCCATTTCCCTCTTCTGGGCCAGGCCTCCTCAGGCAGAACTTCCTGAACTCTGTCACAATTAAACCAGATGAGACTTAACAGGATGAAAGCAGCAGTCCCTAAACCTTGTTGGATAAAGTGTTTGGTGGCCACTAAAGTTTGGGAAATGCTGGCTTACAGAGATTAACAGGTTTCCTCACTGCAGACCTTCTCAGAGCCTTGAATGTGCTAATGTGCACTGTGAGTCTCCAAGAGGAGGTGATAGATGTAGAGTGTCCCAAATGAACCACAGAGCCTCCCCCCACTCCCACAGAGCATTGTTCATATCTAGCAGCTTCCAACTGGGGAAAGCTTGATTTAAAACAATGTACAGTAGTATGTGTGTATACCTGGTAGAGTCAGTTTCCCTGGGGGTATGTGCATCTGAAGAAAGGAGTATATCCGAGCTCCCACTAACTCATCCAGCTATGCATCAGCATTCTGTGCATGGTTCCAGAGCAATTTGGTGGTGTCAGGTGCTCTTCTGGGCATTGGAGATGCAAAGCCTGGCCTCCCTCCATATCAGAAGGTTAGGATGCCTCTGTAGAGCAGGGGAGAGTCTGACCTAGCAGCCTCACCCAGCAGCCACACCTGCCTGTGACCTTCCTCGCCCTTCACCAGGAGAAGAATGACTGAGTCCTCTTTGGCATCGGGGTGTGACTTTGCACAGGACTCTGGCAACCACGAGTGGGGAGTTACCAGTGGGAAAGTGGCTCCAGCAGCCCCGTAGAAATGTTTTCTAGACTTCAGTTCCTGACCACCTTGCTGATTTCAGCCATATCTGGGAACGATTTGCACTATCATTTGCTCCATGTATTTTTCTTTAAGTTGACTTGCTTTAAAAAAAAGAAATGTAGGGCTGAGTACGGTGGCTTACACCTGTAATCCCAGCACTTTGGGAGGCCAAGGTGGGAGGACCACTTGAGGCCAGGAGTTCAAGACCAGCCTGGCCAACATGGCAAAACCCAGTGTCTACTAAAAATACAAAAATTAGCCAGGTGTGGTGGCACGCACCTGTAGTCCCAGCTACTCGGGAGGCTGAGGCATGAGAATCACTTGAACCCAGGACGTGGAGGTTGCAGTCAGCCAAGATGGTGCCACCGCACTGCAGCCTGGGCAACAGAGCAAGACCCTCTCTCCAAAAAAAAAGAAAGAAATGTAAATTTATTGAAGAGGGAACTGTTATATTATGACTGCAAATGGTCATCCTGATGTGTTTCATAGATAAATAGATAGATGATAGATAGATAGATAGATACATACATACATACATACATACATACATACGTACATACATACATACCTATCAAAATAAAAAGAATCTTTTTCGGGTCCTGCCCAGCTAACTTTTTTTTTTTTTTCATGGCACCACTGCTATGCTTCATGCCCCACCTCCCCCTCTAAGATTCTCCTCTCAGCAAGAACAAACTAAACCTGCTCAGTGGACCCAGCACCCTCAGTGCTCAGGGGCCCCATCTGGGAAGTAGGCCCCAAAGTACATACAAGGTTAAAATGCAGTGTGGCTGTTTTTCAAATGCCAAAGGAAAGAAGAGCTGAAGCAAAGAATGTAGCCTTGATTAGTTAGAATTGTGGGGTTT
The DNA here is from genome assembly GCF_000001405.40 of Homo sapiens. NCBI lineage: Eukaryota > Metazoa > Chordata > Mammalia > Primates > Hominidae > Homo > Homo sapiens. The sequence continues at coordinate 88,854,097 of NC_000015.10, forward strand.
CCTTTTTTCATTTCTCTGTTTTTCAAATTGTCTGTAACAGAGTTCTCAGAACTGGAGAAAGTCACTGTATGTTTACAAACATCACCACCTGGCCCTTTCTTCCTCAGAAGGATGGCTTAAAATGCACAGTTCTTACACTGAAGTGAGCCCCAGCATCACAAGGAGGGCTTGCTAAAACACAGTATGCCAGACTTCTTCCCAGAGTTGCTGAATCAGTGGGGCTGGGGTGAGGTCATCAGTGGGGCTGGGGTGAGGTCTAGGAATTTGCTTTTCTATTCAAGCTCCCAGAGGGTGCTCTTGCTGCGAGTCCAAGCTTTGAAAACCATGGGACCAAATCAATGAGATGGTAATGTGGAAGTACTTGCAGGATGACCTTGGTGGTCTTCAGTGGTGGGCAGGCCCCCACATCCAGTGGGTTGTGTGGATGGTGGCCCCCGCATCTCACACAAAGTACAACCTGTGTAGCCCATGGCCCTGTGGGCACCTGGGGGAGCTTCCCAGTTCCCTACCTCCCTCCTTCCTTTCTCCCTGTCCTTCTGCCTTCTTTTCTCCCTATACTTCCTTCCTTCCTTCTTTCCTTTCTTCATTTCCAAGACACTTTACACAGTTCCATTAGAAAGCATTTGGACACGTTGCTGAGCTCTTGAGAGAAAAATTTTACTGTGGAAAGAATGGAGTTTAGATTCTACATTTGAGCTTAAAGTGGGGCAGAGTTAATAAACCCACACTTCATCTTTCTTCCTTCTTTCCTACAGGGATCCTTCCTACTTGGCCTCCCACTGGCGCAGCAACAGAGGAAAGTACAGAAGGCCCTTCTGCAACTGAAGTGCCCTCTGCCTCAGAGGAACCATCCCCCTCAGAGGTGCCATTCCCCTCAGAGGAGCCATCCCCCTCAGAGGAACCATTCCCCTCAGTGAGGCCATTCCCCTCAGTGGAGCTGTTCCCCTCAGAGGAGCCATTCCCCTCCAAGGAGCCATCCCCCTCAGAGGAACCATCAGCCTCGGAAGAGCCGTATACACCTTCACCCCCCGTGCCCAGCTGGACTGAGCTGCCCAGCTCTGGGGAGGAATCTGGGGCCCCTGATGTCAGTGGTGACTTCACAGGCAGTGGAGATGTTTCAGGACACCTTGACTTCAGTGGGCAGCTGTCAGGGGACAGGGCAAGTGGACTGCCCTCTGGAGACCTGGACTCCAGTGGTCTTACTTCCACAGTGGGCTCAGGCCTGCCTGTGGAAAGTGGACTACCCTCAGGGGATGAAGAGAGAATTGAGTGGCCCAGCACTCCTACGGTTGGTGAACTGCCCTCTGGAGCTGAGATCCTAGAGGGCTCTGCCTCTGGAGTTGGGGATCTCAGTGGACTTCCTTCTGGAGAAGTTCTAGAGACCTCTGCCTCTGGAGTAGGAGACCTCAGTGGGCTTCCTTCTGGAGAAGTTCTAGAGACCACTGCCCCTGGAGTAGAGGACATCAGCGGGCTTCCTTCTGGAGAAGTTCTAGAGACCACTGCCCCTGGAGTAGAGGACATCAGCGGGCTTCCTTCTGGAGAAGTTCTAGAGACCACTGCCCCTGGAGTAGAGGACATCAGCGGGCTTCCTTCTGGAGAAGTTCTAGAGACCACTGCCCCTGGAGTAGAGGACATCAGCGGGCTTCCTTCTGGAGAAGTTCTAGAGACCACTGCCCCTGGAGTAGAGGACATCAGCGGGCTTCCTTCTGGAGAAGTTCTAGAGACCACTGCCCCTGGAGTAGAGGACATCAGCGGGCTTCCTTCTGGAGAAGTTCTAGAGACCGCTGCCCCTGGAGTAGAGGACATCAGCGGGCTTCCTTCTGGAGAAGTTCTAGAGACCGCTGCCCCTGGAGTAGAGGACATCAGCGGGCTTCCTTCTGGAGAAGTTCTAGAGACCGCTGCCCCTGGAGTAGAGGACATCAGCGGGCTTCCTTCTGGAGAAGTTCTAGAGACCGCTGCCCCTGGAGTAGAGGACATCAGCGGGCTTCCTTCTGGAGAAGTTCTAGAGACCGCTGCCCCTGGAGTAGAGGACATCAGCGGGCTTCCTTCTGGAGAAGTTCTAGAGACCGCTGCCCCTGGAGTAGAGGACATCAGCGGGCTTCCTTCTGGAGAAGTTCTAGAGACCGCTGCCCCTGGAGTAGAGGACATCAGCGGGCTTCCTTCTGGAGAAGTTCTAGAGACTGCTGCCCCTGGAGTAGAGGACATCAGCGGGCTTCCTTCTGGAGAAGTTCTAGAGACTGCTGCCCCTGGAGTAGAGGACATCAGCGGGCTTCCTTCTGGAGAAGTTCTAGAGACTGCTGCCCCTGGAGTAGAGGACATCAGCGGGCTTCCTTCTGGAGAAGTTCTAGAGACTGCTGCCCCTGGAGTAGAGGACATCAGCGGGCTTCCTTCTGGAGAAGTTCTAGAGACTGCTGCCCCTGGAGTAGAGGACATCAGCGGGCTTCCTTCTGGAGAAGTTCTAGAGACTGCTGCCCCTGGAGTAGAGGACATCAGCGGGCTTCCTTCTGGAGAAGTTCTAGAGACTGCTGCCCCTGGAGTAGAGGACATCAGCGGGCTTCCTTCTGGAGAAGTTCTAGAGACTGCTGCCCCTGGAGTAGAGGACATCAGCGGGCTTCCTTCTGGAGAAGTTCTAGAGACTGCTGCCCCTGGAGTAGAGGACATCAGCGGGCTTCCTTCTGGAGAAGTTCTAGAGACTACTGCCCCTGGAGTAGAGGAGATCAGCGGGCTTCCTTCTGGAGAAGTTCTAGAGACTACTGCCCCTGGAGTAGATGAGATCAGTGGGCTTCCTTCTGGAGAAGTTCTAGAGACTACTGCCCCTGGAGTAGAGGAGATCAGCGGGCTTCCTTCTGGAGAAGTTCTAGAGACTTCTACCTCTGCGGTAGGGGACCTCAGTGGACTTCCTTCTGGAGGAGAAGTTCTAGAGATTTCTGTCTCTGGAGTAGAGGACATCAGTGGGCTTCCTTCTGGAGAGGTTGTAGAGACTTCTGCCTCTGGAATAGAGGATGTCAGTGAACTTCCTTCAGGAGAAGGTCTAGAGACCTCTGCTTCTGGAGTAGAGGACCTCAGCAGGCTCCCTTCTGGAGAAGAAGTTCTAGAGATTTCTGCCTCTGGATTTGGGGACCTCAGTGGACTTCCTTCTGGAGGAGAAGGTCTAGAGACCTCTGCTTCTGAAGTAGGGACTGACCTCAGTGGGCTTCCTTCTGGAAGGGAGGGTCTAGAGACTTCAGCTTCTGGAGCTGAGGACCTCAGTGGGTTGCCTTCTGGAAAAGAAGACTTGGTGGGGTCAGCTTCTGGAGACTTGGACTTGGGCAAACTGCCTTCTGGAACTCTAGGAAGTGGGCAAGCTCCAGAAACAAGTGGTCTTCCCTCTGGATTTAGTGGTGAGTATTCTGGGGTGGACCTTGGAAGTGGCCCACCCTCTGGCCTGCCTGACTTTAGTGGACTTCCATCTGGATTCCCAACTGTTTCCCTAGTGGATTCTACATTGGTGGAAGTGGTCACAGCCTCCACTGCAAGTGAACTGGAAGGGAGGGGAACCATTGGCATCAGTGGTGCAGGAGAAATATCTGGACTGCCCTCCAGTGAGCTGGACATTAGTGGGAGAGCTAGTGGACTCCCTTCAGGAACTGAACTCAGTGGCCAAGCATCTGGGTCTCCTGATGTCAGTGGGGAAATACCTGGACTCTTTGGTGTCAGTGGACAGCCATCAGGGTTTCCTGACACTAGTGGGGAAACATCTGGAGTGACTGAGCTTAGCGGGCTGTCCTCTGGACAACCAGGTATTAGTGGAGAAGCATCTGGAGTTCTTTATGGCACTAGTCAACCCTTTGGCATAACTGATCTGAGTGGAGAAACATCTGGGGTCCCTGATCTCAGTGGGCAGCCTTCAGGGTTACCAGGGTTCAGTGGGGCAACATCAGGAGTCCCTGACCTGGTTTCTGGTACCACGAGTGGCAGCGGTGAATCTTCTGGGATTACATTTGTGGACACCAGTTTGGTTGAAGTGGCCCCTACTACATTTAAAGAAGAAGAAGGCTTAGGGTCTGTGGAACTCAGTGGCCTCCCTTCCGGAGAGGCAGATCTGTCAGGCAAATCTGGGATGGTGGATGTCAGTGGACAGTTTTCTGGAACAGTCGATTCCAGTGGGTTTACATCCCAGACTCCGGAATTCAGTGGCCTACCAAGTGGCATAGCTGAGGTCAGTGGAGAATCCTCCAGAGCTGAGATTGGGAGCAGCCTGCCCTCGGGAGCATATTATGGCAGTGGAACTCCATCTAGTTTCCCCACTGTCTCTCTTGTAGACAGAACTTTGGTGGAATCTGTAACCCAGGCTCCAACAGCCCAAGAGGCAGGAGAAGGGCCTTCTGGCATTTTAGAACTCAGTGGTGCTCATTCTGGAGCACCAGACATGTCTGGGGAGCATTCTGGATTTCTGGACCTAAGTGGGCTGCAGTCCGGGCTGATAGAGCCCAGCGGAGAGCCACCAGGTACTCCATATTTTAGTGGGGATTTTGCCAGCACCACCAATGTAAGTGGAGAATCCTCTGTAGCCATGGGCACCAGTGGAGAGGCCTCAGGACTTCCAGAAGTTACTTTAATCACTTCTGAGTTCGTGGAGGGTGTTACTGAACCAACTATTTCTCAGGAACTAGGCCAAAGGCCCCCTGTGACACACACACCCCAGCTTTTTGAGTCCAGTGGAAAAGTCTCCACAGCTGGGGACATTAGTGGAGCTACCCCAGTGCTCCCTGGGTCTGGAGTAGAAGTATCATCAGTCCCAGAATCTAGCAGTGAGACGTCCGCCTATCCTGAAGCTGGGTTCGGGGCATCTGCCGCCCCTGAGGCCAGCAGAGAAGATTCTGGGTCCCCTGATCTGAGTGAAACCACCTCTGCATTCCACGAAGCTAACCTTGAGAGATCCTCTGGCCTAGGAGTGAGCGGCAGCACTTTGACATTTCAAGAAGGCGAGGCGTCCGCTGCCCCAGAAGTGAGTGGAGAATCCACCACCACCAGTGATGTGGGGACAGAGGCACCAGGCTTGCCTTCAGCCACTCCCACGGCTTCTGGAGACAGGACTGAAATCAGCGGAGACCTGTCTGGTCACACCTCGCAGCTGGGCGTTGTCATCAGCACCAGCATCCCAGAGTCTGAGTGGACCCAGCAGACCCAGCGCCCTGCAGAGACGCATCTAGAAATTGAGTCCTCAAGCCTCCTGTACTCAGGAGAAGAGACTCACACAGTCGAAACAGCCACCTCCCCAACAGATGCTTCCATCCCAGCTTCTCCGGAATGGAAACGTGAATCAGAATCAACTGCTGCAGGTATTGTGATTTTTTCCCCCTTTAAATGTGCTTAGGTAGTTCAGACTGTAGCCTACTGCAGCACAGAAGGAGGCAGCATAGCTTTAAGGTTCCAAGAACAACTCCACCAAAGGTTAGCTGTGCAGCCTCAGGCAATAGTCTTCCCCTCTCTGAGCCTCATCTGTAACGTAAGAGTAGGATAATACTCTACCAGGGAAGATTAGGCAGAACATAAACATAGATAGATAAAGCAAGCACTTAGCATCACGCTCTGCATGCAGTGCACACTTGTAAAGATGAGTGATGTTATCGTTACAGCGGAGTTACAGTCCGTGAGTTTTTACACGTGAATTCAACTATCTGTACTTGGCACAGGGAGAGAAGGATGACTGTCTAGATAGTGCTAGAAATTCTGCTCATGCACCCTGCCCCGGAGTGAGTGTAAGATGAGAGAGTAAATCTGCTGATGGTGTTTATGTCTGAATATTTATTTTGTGCAGGGTTAAAACCTGCACAACTTAAGGAACTATGAAGTGTCATTTGGCTATCTGGTTTTAGATTCTGCATCCCCAACCCCATCCGTGTACAAAGGGGCTCCTGTACTATCATGATTGTCTCACCGTGACATAACTCCAAGTGCCGGGCAGCGGGCACTGGTAGCGGTAGCTGATTTTCCTTTTTTTTTTTTTTTTTTTTTGCTCTGGGGTCCCTTGTACCTTCCTTTGTGCTGAGAGAGCTTTCACAGCTAGAGAGCTCCCCCCGATGCTGTGGGCCAGGTGCCCAGGAGGGACAGAGGCCTCAGAAAAGTGCTGACCCAAAGCCAGCCTCGTGGACTTCAGGAACCTCATGCCCCAACTTTGAGGTCTTGGAGGCCATGGTAGCCAGGTGACTGTGTTCTTGATGCTCAACCTCTCCCCTGGGGGTTGCAGCCCCCGCCAGGTCCTGTGCAGAGGAGCCCTGTGGAGCTGGGACCTGCAAGGAGACAGAGGGACACGTCATATGCCTGTGCCCCCCTGGCTACACTGGCGAGCACTGTAACATAGGTAAGGCCCTCATTGGCCGTGGAGAGTGAGGGCGGAGGCGCTGGACAGACTTCTTCATCCCCCAAAGGGTCCCCAGGTGGGAGGAGGCAACCAAGGTCCACTGAGGCTCAGGCTGGGAAGGAGCTGCATGATGACATGTCAGGGGCAGAAGCCACAGGACAGACATGGCTTATCTTTCTCGAATGTCTAGGTTTAGGAGAAAAGAGTCAAGTAATTAAGTTGCTAAGTATTTTTATATCAGGCTGATGACTATTGTAGGAGTAGAATGAAAAATGTGCTTGAATTTTGGAGATGAGACTTCAAAGAAATATCGAGCATGGGGTGAGTATTAAATACAGCGGGTCACACCTCTCCGCTCCTGGTGAGGAGTGTCTGAGTGGGGCCATCTTGTATCGTGCAGAGTGAACCCCACCAAGTTGCCTCCATGCTTGGGTCTGCGTGGGGTTTGGGTCCCCTTCTTGCCCTGAAGGAAATGACACAAACAACGGTAATCACCCAGCACAGGGATTCGTGGATGTAGGGCAGCTGTAACCCAGCAGCACGTCTGCCCAGGCACCCACCATGAGCCTGTTTGTCCTTAGCTATGGGTGAAGCAGCCTGTGGGATGGGTGGAGAGGCTGGGGACCCTCTGATCTGAGGTGGACCCCGGAAGGAGATGGTTAGAATCTACCTGTTGTTCCACGGACACACGGGAGGCCCGTGGTCATGAGGACATCTCATCTCATCTTATCAACATCACCACCTTGAGGAAAGAAATGCCCAGTTACCACCAAGCTCATGTTCTTTCATTAGTTCTCCCACTAACCCCAGTGCCCTTATCCCCAGCCTCCCTCCTAGGTCAAGAATCAGAGACCTAGGGTCTTTCATAAAAGGGGTCACTCCTAGGACATGTGCAAAAATGAAAAAACGAATCCTGGAGAAAAAACAATCACTTCCACGTAAACCTCATGTCGGGCAATTATCCTTCGATAGCCTTTACATCAAACACAGAGAAGAATTCTGTGTCTATATATATTAATATACATGCAAATTAATACATCATTATATATTATTATATATCATATAAACATGCTGTATACATGGTACATATGCAGTAACTATATATGTATATATAAACAGACGTTAGGGTAGATATTCATTCACTCTTTCCCCAACGTGTGGGCTGCAAGGACAGAGAGGGTGGGCTATCCTGGGAAGGTCCCGGGCTTACTGCAGAAGGGGACAGCATTTCCACTGGGCCATAGTGACCCCAGGGACCATAGCTGCACCCCACCATCACTCACCCCTGATGGGTGACTCCACTCTTGGGAAATCCTTCTTAACCTGATACTTGAGGCAAAAATCTGACACTAGCATCAGAAGTCAAAGCAAGGCTCATGTTCTTGGCAGCCCTGAAATTAATAGGAGTAAGTGTCAGTGGGCCGTAACTATTCTGCTGTAAGGACAGCCTCTCTGTGATCATGTATATTTCCACAGGGCTTTTGTTCCCACGATTTCTCCCCAGATGGCTCTGTAAGCAGCTTGGTAACTACCCCCATTTGAGACTGGAACTCAGAGGAGTTAAGTAATTTGCCTAACTATACTGAGTAAGTGGATTGAATCAAGAATCAAGACCTTAATTCACGTGTTTAACACACTCGGCTAAATAAGAAACTCCCTCTTGAACATAACAACCAGTTGCTGGTCTCAAAAAACTGAAGCTGGACTTCAGGGGAGCCAGAATGGGGAGGAGCTGAGGAATCTGAGGTGGTCGGATTCAAGACTTGCAGCCCAGCCTTCATTTTCCTCATTTGTAAACAGGGATCGATGGTAATGGTTCTCAGCTTTGAAAAATTATGATGCCTGAGATCTACCCCCACAGATTGTGATTGAAGTGGTTCTGTGGCCTTGGCATTGAGGTTTTTAAAACTCCCAGGCGACTCCAATGTGCAGCCAGGACTGAGAACCGCTGCTGTGAGGGTGAAGATCACCCATGTACAACATCTGGTCAGAAGAGGCATTTAATAAAAATTGCTTCCCTTTCCCCATCTCTCACTCTACTGGCTAAGAGAAGCTTTAGCATCTCCAAAGAGTGAGTGGTGGGGATCAGCCCAGCACAAAACCTGGGTCTCTTTTCCCATGACTGTACCTTGGGGTCCCAGGTCACTCTTGTTCAACTTAGCTCAAGGTTCAAGTGCTTCCAGAAGGACTGCAGATAGTGGCCAGTCTTCACGGGTGACCCACGATTGTCTTGCACCACAATCAGGAACTACAGGTTGTTAAAAAGACCACGGATCGGCCAGGTGCAGTGGCTCATGCCTGTAATCCCAGCACTTTGGGAGGCCAAGGCGGATGGATTGCCTGAGGTCAGGAGTTCGAAACCAGCCTAATCAATATGGTGAAACCCCATCTCTACTAAAAATACAAAAATTAGCTTGGTGTGGTGGCGCACCCCTGTAATCCTAGCTACTCGGGAGGCTGAGGCAGGAGAACTGTTTGAACCCAGGAGGCGGAGGTTGCAGTGAGCCGAGATTGTTGCACTGCACTCCAGCCTGGGTGACAGAGTGACACTCGGTCTCAAAAAAAAAAAAAAAAAAAAGAAACAAGACCATGGATCAGTATCCTCGGGGGGCCATAGGGAGCAAAATGCAGCATGATTCCTGCAGTAATATTTGAATCCTCAGGGAAAACTTCCACCTGGTCAAGGGGGTCAGAAGCTGTATTTAGTCCTTAAAAAAAATTGACAATTACTGTCATCTTTTTTAGTCAATCTTCCATAAATAAGTTCTTGATAAGTTATTATAAGTTATTTAGCAATTAAAAGCAAGACTATTCTATTCTGACCCACTTCAAAAACAGCAGCGTCTTTCCCCACTTCCATTACTGACATCACCCAAGGGAATTAGGCTTCAGACTCTAAGGTTTCTATCCTGGCTGCAGCTTAGAATCACCTGGAGTGCTTTTAAAAAGCATCATGCCTGGGCCCCACTCTGAGATAGTCTGATTCAATTGGTCTAAAGAGGAACTTCAGCATTGGTATTTTTAAAAAATCTTTAAATAGGAATATTTTTAAAAACTACTCCAGTAATTCTAATGTGCCAGCCAAGGATGAAAAATACTGTTCTAACCAGATCTCACATCCAATTTCCAGTCATCACTGGTGCTATGTAGCCTTCTCTTATCTCCTCTGTTAGGAGGGCACGACCTTAAACTGAATCAGTTTCCTTCCTATCTTACTGCTATTTTTCAGTTTCTAGGTTTGAAGCTCTGATCTATGACTTTCCACTCTCTCTTCCTCTAGGAGAGATGTTTGAATTTCAGAGAAACCTCTATCCTTGAGAAAGAAATGTTTTCAAAGCAAATGAAAATATAGGGTTGCAAGTGAAAATACAAAGTATGCCTTCTTGACTTAACCAAAAAGTTCCTGGGCAGATTTTAACAGGCAACTGATTGATTTAAGAAGCAGGATATTGTTGGGCACAGTGGTGCACACCTGTAATCCCAGAACTTTGGGAGGCCGAGGCAGGAGGATCACTTGAGCCCAGGAGTTCAAGACCAGCCTGGGCAACACAGTGGGATCCCACTGCTACAAAAAATATATGTTTTTAATTAGCTTGGTATGGTGGCACATGCCTTTAGTCCCAGCTACTTGGGAAGCTAAGGTAGGAGTTTCACTTGAGCCCAGGATGTTGAGACTGTAGTGAGCCATGGTTGTGCCACTGCATTCCAGCCTGGGTGACAGAGTGAGACCCTGTCTCAAAAATAAAGCAAGATATTAAAGTTATATTCAAGATCAACCTTTAAAATACAAAAGATTTGAAATAGTACAAATAATGATAGCATATGTTATAACCTTTTTTTTTTTTTAAGACAGAGTCTCGCACTGTCATGCAGGCTGGAGTGCAGTGGCACAATCTCCCCTCACTGCAAGCTACACCTCCTGGGTTCAAGCGATTCTCCTGCCTCAGCCTCCCAAGTAGCTGGGATTACAGGCACACATCACCACGCCTGCCTAATTTTTTGTATATTTAGTAGATGGGATTTCACTATGTTGGCCAGGCTGATCTTGAACTCCTGACCTTCTGATCCACCCGCCTTGGCCTCCCAAAGTGCTGGGATTACAAGTGTGAGCCACCGCGCTGGGCCTATATTTTTAATTTAATTAATTTATCTTAAAAGCAAATTAGGACTGGTGAATATGCTTTTATAATCCTTCTTTCATTTGTGTAAGAGACAACCAGAAAGTTAGTGTATCTACTCAGGTCTGTTCATCTTCATTGATCCCAGGTCTTTGCAACATGCAGAGCATCCATTGAATTGAGAAATTTTATCTGTATTTCTTAAGAGGTTTCCCCCATCCTTGCCCAGGAAAGTTATGTCCAGAATCACCACATACAGCTGCACAAGTATGCACTGAACAGCTTGAGGAGTTCCATTCATATTGTAGTCTTTATGAGTGGCAACCCTTTTAGTTCAGTATCATTTGAGTTTTAGCACCTGCATTGCTCTTCGTTCAGCATTTTTTATGAGCAAATAAACTCTCACTCACTTGGAGGTCCTGGGCTGTGACCTAGGCAAAAGCTGGACAAGATCTTTTCAAGGTGGAGGCCTGACGTCTCCAATTCAGACAACCACGTGATGCTTTGCAACTATCTCTACTCCCCTGGCCTTTATCAGGGGCTCTCAGTTATTTTCTCTCCCAAGTTAGAGATATTGCTGGAGGGCCTTGTTCAGGAACAAACCAGCCCTTTTGGTTATAGTAGTGGGAAGAGGACCCTGAGAATCCTGATGCTCCCCAGAGTCCCTGCTCAGTGATGATGAGTGAGCCCTGGGTAGCTGTAGCAGCAATGCTAAGGAGGTGCTGACAGTCCAGGACTCCAGTGTCTCTCTCCCTCCACGTGGGGCAGAAGCCAACTTCCAGTCTCATTTCCTGACTCCTCCATCTCTTCCACTCTGTCTCCCCAACACCCAGGTTGGGCAAGTCACCTCACTTGTTTTCTTTCTGTTCTTTCTTTCTTTCTTTTCTGTTTTGTTTTTACATCTCAAACATGTTAAAGAATTCACATGTTTTCTCACCTGTAAATGGCATAGTGACGTCTTGC